>NT_187583.1:0-204059 GCF_000001405.40 Homo sapiens | reverse complement strand
CATATCCTTTTCCTTTGCCTTGTCACTTCTCCAAAAATTTACAGCCCTTGGTTAAAATGGTATACAAGCCTTTGGGTCTAACTGCTTCTTTGGGGTTTTCACTTCTTGTCTGTGAGGTCCCTGATGCTATGTAAAATTGTTGACATCAAATAAAATTTGTATGATTTCTCCCGTTAATCATAATTTTTTTTTTGTCAATTTAATCTGTAGGTCTCAGTTTAAGAACCTAAGAGGGTAGAGGAGAAGTTTTCCTTTCCCTACAAGGTAAAAAATTAAAAAAAGTTTAGAGAATGATGGCTTTTGCCATGATTGTCACAAGGAGATTGCTGGGCTGGAGAGATGATATGGTGTCTGGAATCACAGTGTTGTATAGTATTCCTTTCTCTCTCTCTCCTGCTGGGCCAGACCCCAAGATTTGATTACCATGGGGCTTCTTGCTCATGTGTACTGTGCACTTGGATGCAACAAACCATTCACTTACAACCTTACATCACAATGTGGCTCTGATGGATCCTGGCCAGCACTTCCTAATCTCTGCTTTCTATCCCTGGGGAAACTGACTTCCTCCAACTTCAATTCCATTTCTCATTTATAGATGTTGCCTTTCATGTCAGAATCTTGCTCTAACTTCCAGCTTCTCTGACCAGATTTCATGCTCCTCTTCCTTTATTTGGCTTCTTTGGGTAATCCCTCCCTGGTTTCATCTCACCATAGGCCCTTTTATTGCAGTGCAGGCTGCACCCTCATCAAATTTCCCTCAGTCCTGTGATCAAGCCCCAGAAAAGCAGTCCCGAGCAGGCCACAGCACCACCCTCCAGCCTGAACACCGAGATGTATTCGAGGGCCTAGGCCTTATCTTTCACCCTAGAGACTTAGGAACATGCTATAGAAAGCAGCCATCAGAGTTGTCCAGATGACCACTGTAATTTTATCATGTGCTTTGCCAGCCTGCCTGTACTCCTTACTGCCATCTTGCTAGCACTGGCTATGCCACTGGGGGAGTTTGAAGGCCTCCTTCTCCTTGAAGGTGTGAAAGGAAAATAAAGTTATTAGAAAACTGCATTCAAGGACACCTGTCAGAGTCCTATAGCTGATTATAAAAAAAAAAAATCTTTTGAAAAGGATAAAAGTGAAACAACTGTGGATGACAAGTCTTAGAACAGTCATAAAGACACAATTGACAAGGAAATTTGGTTGCTTTTGTGGCATACAACAATTTTACATTATCATAATTACTACTGTTAACATATGCTAAGACATATCAGAATCACAGGAATTTCATACAATGCGGGAACATATACTAATAACACATTTATATAAATATATTTCTAATAACTTTGGAGACTGTGACACTAGAATAGAGGAAAAACTTCCAAGACTCCCATGGAGAGCTGAAATGTTCATGAATATCAAACAGAATAGGAGTTAACTCCATGGATTGAACTAATAGAAGACTGAAATAATCCTTTTATGACATTTTGTTTAAAACATTGCTGATCCTTTGTTTTTCAGAGCCAATAAACTTTTCTTTTGAGATTTTTACAGCTTTTAACAATTGAGTAAACTCCCGTAAACAAAATTTGGAACATATTTCTCTCTACCTGATTTCTCAAAAATTTGGAAACTACTTGTGAATATTTTTAACTTATGGCAATATTAGTCATTTGCACAAGTGCAATAAGAATCTGTTTTCATTTGTAACAGGACACAATTGGAGACACAGGTTATTTTACCAAGGTTTTGACTGGAATGGCATGCTTTCAGATACAGATGCCTTTAAGGATTCAAAGTTGACTTATAGAGCCAATGAAAACCCCTTGGGAAAGATGGCCCCATACCTTGTCTACACAGTCCCTGTACAGGTTCCTTACCTGTTGAAACGCCTTTGCAAAAGTTATATCAGTGAGAAAAGTATAACAGTAAGCTAAGCTAACACAATCCCCACCTTGCCTTTCCCTTAATTATTCCTGGGCTATTGGGCCAAGCTATCTTTGGAAGATATTTAGGCTATAGTTAAATGATAATAGGCCTTGCCCCAAACTCAACTGCTTTTGTAAAGCTAATGAGATGCCGTCAGGCTGGGAGAAGGAGAGGAGGCTAAATCCTGCTAAGGTGTAGACATAAACAATTGTCAGCCATTATTCTGGAGGTTATAAGATATGCTACTTCCCCAATTACTGCTGCAAATAACACCATTATTGTAGATTGGCCTTTTGAGATATGTTTCCAGACTTTTTTGCATGTCTCATACCCATGGCTCCACCTGGACCAACAACCCCACTCCTGTGGCTGCACCCAGAAGCGATTTGGCCTGCAGGAGGACAGCTTCAACCCCTTGTGATTTCATCTCCACCCCAACCAATCAGCAGCAAGTACCTGCTACCTGGCCACCCCCACCCCTTCCCCAAAACTGCCTTTGAAAAACCTCTAACCTTACCAGCTTTGAATGAGATGATTTGAGTAGAAATTTCATCTCCCATGTGGTGTGGCTGGCCTTGTGTCTGTTAAACTCTTTTTCTACTACAGTGTCGTGGTCTTTCTTTATGCAGTGGGCAGGAAGAACCCCTCAGGCAATTATGCTGTGGTAAGTAAAGAATGTCACTTTCTGATAGTCCCAGGAGCCCCAAGTTTTCTTGGGAATTCAAGTTTAGGAATTCACCCAATTAATACAGATATTTGTGGGCAGAGGTTAGGCTTAAGGCATTAAAGTTGAATCTGAGATTCCTTATGGAATAAAGTTCCAGCAATGCCAATTAAAAAAAAAAGAGGAGCCTATATGACAAATAGTTATTCTTGCTGACTTTATGAAAATACCCCAGCCAAGTATAATAAGATTAAAACTTATTTTGCAAATGAATTTGTCTTATGACTTGTCTTTAGTGAAAATAGGACTGGAGAGAGAAAAATTATGTTTCAAAATAAACTATAGTACACTTGTTAGAGTCTAGTCTTGCCTAATGTTTTTCAGTTTTTATTCCTTTCTACAGTTTAGACTGAATTCTAAAAATTTTCCTGGCTACAAGTCTCCAAAACAATGTTTTCAATATTTCTTCTTCTTTTTTTTCCTTTTCTCCCATTTTTCCTGATTTGAAATCACTGAAGATTAAGCCGTGCTTTCTTAAAGCTTTGTGAACAACTTAAACTTTAGAAGAAAATAATGGCAGCCTATTTACGTACCTAAACCACTTTCATACCTGCCTACTGATGTATGGACTTCAGAGTAACATGACCTGTATGAATTTTCCAGGATTGTTCTTCATTGTTTGTTTGTTTGTTGTTGTTTTTCTTCTTCCCTCCCCCTATTTTCTCTTTGTAGAATGTGTGACTTTACAATCTGCTAAAAATGAGCTTTCCTAATAATGTGGGACCTACCCGTCTAGGAATAAACCATCCTAGCCATGAGAGATCAGACAAAACCTCAGCCCAAAGACTCATTTTCCTCTAAAATGCTTTCTTTGAAAGCTTTTTAAAAAGAAAAGTGGGGAAATGCAAAAGGAAAATAAACCTCAGTTCCCCCAAATCACTAAGCCAAAGGGAAAAGTCAGACTGGGTACTGTGGGCATACTTGCCTCCCACTCTATTCCTAAATAAGATAGCTACAAAGATTAAAAAAAAAAAAAAAAAAGCTACATACCTCCGTCACAATTTGCCCACGGGAAAATTCCTTGTGGATAAAAAGCAGAACTCAAAGTCATCCCTCTGTTAACATGATACAAATGCATATCTGATTGCTTCCTTGCTCCATTATTTCACTAAGCTAGACTAAGGCATAAGTGACTGTTCCTGTAAATTGTGTATTCAGTGAAAGGCTGATCAGAAACTAAAAATAATGCAACTGTTTATGTCTTATCTACCTATGACCTGGAAGCCCTCTCCCTGCTTTGACTTGTCCCACTTTTCTGGACTGAACCAATGTACGTCTTACATATATTGATTGATGTCTCATGTCTCCCTAAAATGTATAAAACCAAGCTGTGTCCCGACCACCTTAGGCACATTACTTCAGGACCTCCTGAGGCTGTGTCATAGGCACATCTTAACCTTGGCAAAATAAACTTTCTAAATTGATTGAGACCTGTCTCAGATACTTTTTGGTTTACAAAAGCCTTGTGACAATACTCTTGAGAAAAGACAGCTTCTAGCAGCAGAGACAGATACCTCCAAAATGGCCACAGGATCTCCTGTCTCAAGAAGACCTTTAAGCTTACCAAATCCATGTGCTAACTCCATCAAAACTGACCAAGGTATAAAGGAGAAGATGGTGACCTTTGGGGAGCCTGAGGGGACTGTCTCAAAGGGCCCTTGTATAAGAGGGGACAGACTGGGGTTGGAGCTCCTGCCTGTGTCAAAAAGAAGGCCTGGAAGCAAGAGGATGAAGACATGTGTTCAACTTTGCCTTGGGATCTGCCTCCATAGGTAGGGAAAGAGTATAATGAATGTGGGAACACTGCAGCTTGATTGAGAAACTCCAATTGCTTCACATGTTTTTCTCATTGCCCTTGTTTCTAACAGTTTGCTGTGAAAAAACACTGTGTATAGAGTGAGTGTGTAAGTATGTGTGTATGTGTGTATGGGAAAGTGAGAGACTCATACCTACCAGCTGGCTTCATCTCTCTCTGACTTTCTATTTTGTTTGCTCATTTTTCTGATATCTCTCTGTATCTCTTCTCTGACTCTTTACTCTTTTGATCTCTTGCTATTCCCAGGCTTGGTTTCTCTTTCTTTTGTCTCCACCCCTGCCCTTTTTGGGACTTAGTTGCAATTATCAGTGTTGCCTGTAGCCAGGCCAGGGTGGATAGGCAGGGAGGACTCATTTCATCTCTTGCCTCCACCCTCCAATTATAGTTGGTTCCATGCATCTCATTCCTCCTTTCTTCAGGTGTGATTCTGAATCTGGCACAGTGGTCTCCAGACCTGGTGCCTTTGCAGTAGGTGGCCTTTCTGCTCTCTCTGTCACCCTCACTACATAACTGTGTCTCACTCTTTTATCTTCCCATCTTGGTCTCTGGGTCCTGGTTCTTGGCAGTCTTGTTTTTGTCGCTAGCCTCATCTTGGTCAAGGCACTGGGAAAGGCCAGTCCCATTCCTGCCTGTTCCCCTGGACTCTGGGGTACTCCCTGAGCAGTGGGCACAAGAGGCCTTGGAGGAGGAGGAGAGGTGCACAGGAGGGAAGGCTTGCAGTGGCCTCCTTAAGGTGTCTCCTCTCCTCAACCACCCCTGCCCTCTCACTCATGGGAGATACTCTTACATGTACTTCACAGAGCATATGGAGACTCAGACATGACCATGCTTATCTTCTGACCACAAAACCCACACACCTGACTTTCTCTGCCAAACAACCTCTGTCACTTTCCTCAGGAATGAATGGATGCTGTTCCTTCCAGCCTCCTGTCAAAGGCCAATCTTTTGCCTTTGCTTCGAATCCTGTCCCAATCCCCATTCTCCATTCCCCCCTCTGGTGCTTGCCTTTCTCTTCTGCATTTCTAACCTGACCTCTCTATGGGAGGCTTTGTATCAGCATCCAGGTACATTCCTCCCTTTCCCATGTTAAAGCAAACAAAACCTTCTCTGGACTTCACATCTCCCATATTACCTCAGGACCTTTCTCATCACTTTTGTTACCAAGCTTCCAGAGAGATTTGTCTATACATGTTAACTCCATTTCTTTACCTCTTACTGTTTCTTTGCTAAGTTAATTTTTATCTTTTCAAAGTAATACATGGTTATGATTTCTAAAGTCAATAGGCATTAAAAAACTTATGCCCTGGAACAGTAGTCCTTTCCTCTCCTGATGCCCAGTCTCTTTTCGCTAAAACAACTATTAATACATTAGATTTTAACTATTTCTTCTTACATCTCTGCATTTTGAAGTAATATGTGTACTGTATATCACTATCTTTTGATTCAACATTTTAGGCATTGTCTATCAACTTCCTCTTCTAGTACATTCCACCACCATCCTTTCAATGTAATTATATTTTAAATTTTAGAGCAATGTTCAGTGGTTACACTATGATTTCTATGCAAACATTATTCACACTTGAGTATATTAGTTTACTATTATATTTCCAATTTTATTTTTTGTTTCTCCTCTTGCTAGTAATTTCTTTATTTTACTTTCATTTATCTGGTTTTCTTGGAAGTTACTGCTAGCTTTTTCCACCTTCTAATAGCCTCCCAATAGGCTGTTTTAGAAGGCCAATAGCATCAGCTAGTCTAGCAAGTCTTTTTTCTTTTTTCTTGGAGACATTCTTTTTGGAGAAACCTGTTCTCTTTCTGTCAGGGCTCTTGGGGATCCTCAGCTCTCTAGGCCAGAGGACTGGCTGCCTTCTGGGAATTTGTTTTTCTCCTTTTTCTTTTTTGTTTTTTTGAGACAAAGTCTTACTTTGTTGCCCAGGTTGGAGTGCAGTGGCACAATCTCAGCTCGCTGCAACCTCCGCCTCCTGGGTTCAAGCAATTTTCCTGCCTCAGCCTCCCTAGTAGCTGAGATTACAGGCATGCACCATGATTCCCGGCTAATTTGCGTATTTTTAGTAGAGACAGGGTTTCACCATGTTGATCAGGCTGGTCTCAAACTCCTGACATCAAATGATCCACGCACCTCAGCCTCCCAAAGTGCTGGGATTACAGGCGTGAACCACCATGCCTGGCCTGTTTTTCTCCTTGTTTGAATTCCTACTTCATGGAGCTCCTATCTTCTTCCTTTTTCATTCTCCAGTGATTTCAACAACTTAGAGAAATGGTGCACTGGCGGAGGATATGGTGGTGGCAGTGCTTCAATTCTTTCGTCTCTCTAGTCAAACTGCCCCAGCCTAGGCTGGGGTTAAGTGGTAGAGGAGGAGTGTGGGTTCCAGGGAGGGATGTGGGAAGTCTCCTGGGCTCTTTTTCTCTTGGTGACAGAATAGTTCATGCCTTCCACCCCTCCCTTGTTTCTCAACTTCAACATTTGAAAAAATGAGGTCAAGTTTCCCACTGGTGAGCAATTGCCCATCCCATTGACAGTCATCCCACTGACATTCAGTGGGTGGTTCTGCTTCACAGAGGCTTGGGGCAGATGGGGAGGGGCCCTTCTGTTCCAGGCCTATATACTAGGAACTGTTAGGTATCAAGCTGTAGCTGGTAGGTACCAGCACCACCAAACAGAAGTGAACTAGTGAGTATGGGCTAAGAGAGCCCAAACTTGGACCTGTAGAGCTGTCGGACCAGGAAAGGGGATCTGTTTCGTCTCAGTCCCCAGGCTTTGCTTACTGGGCTCCTGGATCAGGGAGCTGAGTTCTCGCTGCCTCACCTCCAGCTCCCCAAGTCTGAACTGTGGTAAGCAGCCTAGACTGGACATCTTCTTGGCAGGTTCTAGTGTTGTCTTTTCTTTCCTGAATTATTAAATAGCTCTGCCAACATCAGAAATTTGCAGGGAAGCCCTGAGTCTTCCCATGCAGCCTGAAGCTTTGTTGTAAATTGATCCTGCTTTCACAGGCCTGCTTTTCCAAACTGGCCTATGACTCACAACCAAAGTCCCCTGTATCCTAACATGTTCCAAACATTTTCTTTCTCTGTCAGTATGTAGTCAAAATGTTGGTATTTGAATGGCAACAACTCTCTGTGTTCCCAAATTCTCTTTTGAACACTCTCAATGATGAATGTGACATTGTACTACTGAGATGGGTTCCCTATGGGCCTTAGGTCACAGGTGTATTTCTGGATTCTGAAGGCTTTCTATTAATTGTTGCTTTTCTTTTCCAAAGACTGCCACCTGGCCTACATTTTGGTTCTACATTAGAAACACAATTCAAAACTCTGCTCTCCTTTCCCGTTACTTTAGTATTTATACATGTCTCCAGCTTCTGGCAACATTTAGCCTAACTTTCTGGTTCCTGACTCTGTCTTCTATTTCTTTATCTTTTGAGTTTTTTCTGTCTCTCTCTTCCACCCAGGGCATAGACCAGTTTAAATCCTGCCTCTTTGCCCGGTGGCCTAGCTCTGGAAAACTCTGAAAAACCATTTTTCTCTGACTGCCAAATTTCTCATGTGGAACAGTTCCTGAGACGATTTCTGAGATGATCAAAAAGGATATGTAAATCACCTGGCACAAAGTCAGCACTCACAGGTGGCGGTTCCTCTTCCTATCATTATCTGGATTTGTTTCCTTATTTGAATTAGGAGACTTCTAGCTTTGCAATCCCTGTGTGACTGAGGCCAGGAGGCTGACATGTGAGGCCAATGGGTTGAGTGTAGATTTTTTTTACCTTCTTGCCATACCACAGCAGTTCCAGCAAATGTGCTCCAGCTTTCTATAGGTTCACACAGCCAGGGACAGTCTCACTTTTAAAACTTAAAACTTGGCCGGGCACAGTAGCTCATGCCTGTAATCCCAGCACTTTGGGAAGCCAAGGCGGGCAGATCACCTGAGGTCAGGAGATCGAGTCTAGCCGGGCCCGTATGGTGAAACCCCATCTCTACTAAAAATACAAAAGTGAGCTGGGCATGGTGGTGGGCACCTGCAATTCCAGCTACTTGGGAGGCTGAGGCAGGAGAATTGCTTGAACGTGGGATGTGGAGGTTGAGGTGAGCCGAGATCATGCCACTGCTCCCCAGCCTGGGCAACAGAGGTAGACTCTGTCTCCAAAAAAAATAAAATAAAAAACTTAGACTTTTTTTTCTTAATCCATCCGTCTAAGGAGGCATACAGAGCCTAATAAAGAACGTGTTGAGAGGGAAAGAGGAAGGGAGTGGGGGGAGAGAGAGAGACAGAGATAGAGTTTGGGGGAGAGAGAGAGAGATTGAGAGATTAACACACCTACATACCTTCCTACCCATTTGCCAACACAGTCACGTGTCACCTGACTAAGAGGCAGAGGGGAATGACTAGGAAAATTCCCCTGCGTTTCATCTGCTTGTCTTTCTTGGAGCTTTGCACATGTATCTCGTCTCTCCCTGGCCTCCGCTCTATAACTTGGCCAAGCCCCCAGAAAGCAGGGTGGGCCTCTCAGCAGTGGACCTCTCCTTTTGCCTCTTTCTCCAGGTCACTGGTCTTCTGGTCTGGACTTGATCCTTCCCCCAGATCACCATGGCCATGGCCAAGGCCAGAAAGCCCCGGGAGGCATTGCTCTGGGCCTTGAGTGACCTTGAGGAGAACGATTTCAAGAAGTTAAAGTTCTACTTACGGGATATGACCCTGTCTGAGGGCCAGCCCCCACTGGCCAGAGGGGAGTTGGAGGGCCTGATTCCGGTGGACCTGGCAGAATTACTGATTTCAAAGTATGGAGAAAAGGAGGCTGTGAAAGTTGTCCTCAAGGGCTTGAAGGTCATGAACCTGTTGGAACTTGTGGACCAGCTCAGCCATATTTGTCTGCATGGTGAGTGTGGAGCGGGGGAAGGGGAGGGCAGGATGGCACTGGGACTCCCCTCCCACCATGGCATTTCCAGAGCTGCCTGTAGCCTGTACCTTATGCCTTCTGTCACCTTGTCCTCTAGTCCCTGGTGCCCCAGAGTCCTTGGTGGTCTCCACCTGAGGGTTCCAACAACTGTCAGGAGGGGGACTGAGCCAAAGCTGGGATTTATTTAAGAAAAGACTAGCCTTTCTTCCCCACATCTTACCTCCAGCTGCAGTGGCAGAGAAGGGGAGAGTCTGAAGAAAGGGTCTTAGAGACTGGGAGGGTGTTGGTGAAGGGATTTCCACTAACCAGAAGAAATAGCATCAGGATGTAGGGGTCAGACCTGTCCCTAGCTGCTTCCTGGCAAGCTGCTCAGGCGCTTCTAAGTCTTCTGTGGCCCTGATCTCTCAAGGAACCACACTACAGAATGGGTGGTGTGGGACCTCATGGCCTGCTGGTTCTTCCTGTGGGTGCCTGGGGGGAGGGAGGGATCTTTTGGTGCCTTTGCTCCCTCCCATAGGCTCCTTTCATGCTTGAAAGCTCCTCTGCTACGTACAAATGGGAGGGTTTCATGGACCCAGAGTCATGGCTCTTTCTGAGAAGCTGTTTTATCTTTAGCATTTGGCTTGTCCTTTCCCAAGAACAGGCTTATCGGCTGGGCGCAGTGGCTCACGCCTGTAATCCCAGCACTTTGGGAGGCTGAGACAGGCGGATCACGAGGTCAGGAGATCGAGACCATCCTGGCTAACACGGTGAAACCCCGTCTCTACTAAAAATACAAAAAAATTAGCCGGGCATGGTGGCGTGCGCCTGTGGTCCCAGCTACACGGGAGGCTGAGGCAGGAGAATGGCGTGAACCCGGGAGGCGGAGCTTGCAGTGAGTCGAGATCGCGCCACTGCACTCCAGCCTGGGCGACAGAGCGAAACTCCATCTCAAAAAAAAAAAAAAAAAAAAAAGAACAGGCTTATCTTAGTCCCTTTGGTATTGCTATAAAGCAATACCTGAGACTGGGTAATTTATAAAGAAAAGAGGTTTATTTGGCTCATGGTTTGGCAGGTGGTACAAGAGGCATATTGTCAACATTGACTTCTGGCGAGGCCTCAGGCAGCTTTCAGTTATGGAAGAAGGCAAGGTCAGAGCTGGTGTGTCACATGGCAAGAGAGGGAGGAAGAGAGAGGGGAGGAGGTGCCAGGCTCTTTAAACAACCAGCTCTTGTGTAGCTAATAGAGCAAGAACTCGTTCATTACCGTGGGGAGGGCCCCAAGACATTCATGAGGGATTTGCCCCCATGACAAAAACAACTCCCACTAGGCCCTGCCTCCAACATTGGGGATCACATTTCAACCTGAAATTTGGAGGGGATAAACACCCAAACTATATCAAGGCTCCTATCACTTCACCATCCTCAGGCATCCCTTTCCTTTCCCCTCTCTCTGTCCTCACCTCTTCACATGGAGACATTTCACATGAACACTCAGACATTCATGCATTCTCACACAGGCATTTTGCACTTACATGTATTCTTACAGACACACACTTGCTGATGCACACTGACATGACTTCCCTCCACAACAGTACATGAAGGTCCACGAGCACATGTGGATACCAGCATTCATGCACAACTATCCACACACACAGAGCACACCCTTGCACACTCATACAGATGTGCATATGCATACTGCGCCTGCACACACACACTCATGCACACATACAGTGGCCCCTCCCCATGAAGCCAGAACTATAATCTCAGCAAGATCCAAGTTGGAGACATACAAGAAGACTAATGAGCAGAGTCAGTTTGGAGGGGCCATTTTGCCTTCTAAAATTCCCATTTCACTACCTAACATCCCATTTGTTTGGCTCAGATTACAGAGAAGTATACCGAGAGCATGTGCGCTGCCTAGAGGAATGGCAGGAAGCAGGAGTCAATGGCAGATACAACCAGGTGCTCCTGGTGGCCAAGCCCAGCTCAGAGAGCCCAGAATCACTTGCCTGCCCCTTCCCGGAGCAGGAGCTGGAGTCTGTCACGGTGGAGGCTCTATTTGATTCAGGGGAAAAGCCCTCACTGGCCCCATCCTTAGTTGTGCTACAGGGGTCGGCTGGCACTGGAAAGACAACTCTCGCCAGAAAAATGGTGTTGGACTGGGCCACCGGTACTCTGTACCCAGGCCGGTTTGATTATGTCTTTTATGTAAGCTGCAAAGAAGTGGTCCTGCTGCTGGAGAGCAAACTGGAGCAGCTCCTTTTCTGGTGCTGCGGGGACAATCAAGCCCCTGTCACAGAGATTCTGAGGCAGCCAGAGCGGCTCCTGTTCATCCTGGATGGCTTTGATGAGCTGCAGAGGCCCTTTGAAGAAAAGTTGAAGAAGAGGGGTTTGAGTCCCAAGGAGAGCCTGCTGCACCTTCTAATTAGGAGACATACACTCCCCACGTGCTCCCTTCTCATCACCACCCGGCCCCTGGCTTTGAGGAATCTGGAGCCCTTGCTGAAACAAGCACGTCATGTCCATATCCTAGGCTTCTCTGAGGAGGAGAGGGCGAGGTACTTCAGCTCCTATTTCACGGATGAGAAGCAAGCTGACCGTGCCTTCGACATTGTACAGAAAAATGACATTCTCTACAAAGCGTGTCAGGTTCCAGGCATTTGCTGGGTGGTCTGCTCCTGGCTGCAGGGGCAGATGGAGAGAGGCAAAGTTGTCTTAGAGACACCTAGAAACAGCACTGACATCTTCATGGCTTACGTCTCCACCTTTCTGCCGCCCGATGATGATGGGGGCTGCTCCGAGCTTTCCCGGCACAGGGTCCTGAGGAGTCTGTGCTCCCTAGCAGCTGAAGGGATTCAGCACCAGAGGTTCCTATTTGAAGAAGCTGAGCTCAGGAAACATAATTTAGATGGCCCCAGGCTTGCCGCTTTCCTGAGTAGTAACGACTACCAATTGGGACTTGCCATCAAGAAGTTCTACAGCTTCCGCCACATCAGCTTCCAGGACTTTTTTCATGCCATGTCTTACCTGGTGAAAGAGGACCAAAGCCGGCTGGGGAAGGAGTCCCGCAGAGAAGTGCAAAGGCTGCTGGAGGTAAAGGAGCAGGAAGGGAATGATGAGATGACCCTCACTATGCAGTTTTTACTGGACATCTCGAAAAAAGACAGCTTCTCGAACTTGGAGCTCAAGTTCTGCTTCAGAATTTCTCCCTGTTTAGCGCAGGATCTGAAGCATTTTAAAGAACAGATGGAATCTATGAAGCACAACAGGACCTGGGATTTGGAATTCTCCCTGTATGAAGCTAAAATAAAGAATCTGGTAAAAGGTATTCAGATGAACAATGTATCATTCAAGATAAAACATTCAAATGAAAAGAAATCACAGAGCCAGAATTTATTTTCTGTCAAAAGCAGCTTGAGTCATGGACCTAAGGAGGAGCAAAAATGTCCTTCTGTCCATGGACAGAAGGAGGGCAAAGATAATATAGCAGGAACACAAAAGGAAGCTTCTACTGGAAAAGGCAGAGGGACAGAGGAAACACCAAAAAATACTTACATATAAACCTAATTAAATATGTACAAGATCTCTATGAGGAAAATGACAACACTCTGAGGAAAGAAATCAAAGAAGCTGTAAATGAATGGGAAGATTTTCCATGTTCATGAATAGAAAGACTCAATATTGTTAAGATGTTAGTTTTCCCCAGTTTGATCTGTAGATTCAATGCAATCCCAATCAAGATCCCAGCAAATAACTTTGTGGACATTGATAAGATGATTCTAATGTTTATGTGCAAAGGCAAAAGACTCAGAATAGCCAATAAAATATTGAAGAAGAACAAAGTTGGAGGAGTGCTGCTATCCAACTTCTTCCTACTATAAAGCTACAGTAATCAAGACAGTATGGTATTGTTAAAATAATAGAGAAATCAGTGGAGTAGAATAGAGAACCAGAAACAAACCTACACAAAAATGGTCAATTGATCTTAGACAAAGGAGCAAAAGCAATTTAATGGAGAAAGTTTACTCTTTTCAACAAATGGTGCTGAAATAACTGGACATCCACATGTAAAAAAATGAATCTAGATGTAAAATACAAAAGTACTAATATAAACTGCTAGAAGATAATATAGGAGAAAATCTAGGTGACCTTGGGTTTGGCGATGACTTTTTAGATATAACAGCAAAAGCATGAATCATTAAAAAAAGAATTAGTTGGCTTCATGAAAATTAAAAACTTATGCTCTGTGAAAGACACTGTTAAGAGAATGAAAAGATAAGCCAAAGACTGGGAGAAAATATTTGCAAACACATATCTGATAAAAGACTTGGGTAAAAAAAAATACAAATAGCTCTTAAAACTCAATAATAAGTAAAGAGTCTACTTAAAAAGTGAGTAGGAGGCCCAGGCTGGTGGATCACGAGGTCAAGAGACCGAGACCATCCTGGCCAATGTGGTGAAACCCCGTCTTTACTAAAAATACGAAAGTTAGCCGGGCGTGGTGGTGCACACCTGTAGTCCCAGCTACTCAGGAGGCTGAGGCAGGAGAATTGCTTGAATCTGGGAGGCGGAGGTTGCAGTGAGCTGAGATCGCACCACTGCACTCCAGCCTGGCAACAGAGTGAGACTCTGCCTCAAAAAAAAAAAGGTGAGTAAAAAGATTGGAACAGACAGCTTATTAAAGAAGATACACAGATGGCAAATAAATATTTGAAAAGACGCTCAACTTCATATGTCATTAGGGAATTGCAAACTAAAACCACAATAAGATACCATGACACCCCTGTTAGAATGGCTAACATCCCAAATCCTGGCAACACTAAATGCTTGTTAGGATGTGGAGTAGTGGGAGCCTTATTCATTGCTGGTCAGAATGCAAAATGGTACAGCCACTTTGAAAGACAGTTTGGCAGTTTCTTACAAAGCTAAACATAGTTTTACTATATGTAAGATCTAGCAATTATGCTCCTAGATATTAACCCAAGTGAGTTGGAAACTTATGTCCACATAAAAACCTGCACATGAATATTTATAGCAGCTTTATTCGTAATTGCCCAAATTTGGAAGCAACCAAGATGTCCTTCAATAGGTGATGGATAAGCAAACTGTGATACATCCACATAATGTAATAGTATTCAGTGATAAAAATAAATGAGCAATTAAGACATGAAAAGATATGGAGAAGCCTTAAATGCAACTACTAAGTGAAAGAAGTCAGTCTGAAAAGGCTACATACTGTGTAATTCCAAATATATGCTCTTATGAAAAATGAAAAACTATGGAGACAATTAAAAATCAGTGGTTGTCAGGGGTTCAAGGAGAGTCAGGGAGAGATAACCAGGTGGAGGCACAGGCACTTTAGGATAGTAAAACTATTCTGTGTGATATTATAATGATGGAGTCATGACATAAATTTTTCAAAACGCATAGAGCTGTACAATACAAAGAGTGAATCCTAATGTAAACTGTGCCTTGTAGTTAATAATAGTGTATCAAAATTGGTTCATCAATGATCACAAATGTGTCACACTAATGCAAGATGTTAATAAGAGAAACTTTGTGAGGGGGTGGTGGTGGTGGAGAGGGTATATAGGAACTTTCTGTATTTAAAAAAAGTTTTATTGAAGTATAATTAGTTTAATACAATAAACTGTGCATATTTAATATATAAAATTTGATGAATTTGTACATACACATACATCTGTGAAACCATCACTACAATCAAGGTAGAAGACATAACAATCCCCCCAAAAATGTTCCCGTGTCCTTTTATCTTTTTGTGTGTGTTAAAAACACAACACAAAATTTACCCTCTTATAAATTTTTAAGCACATAATACAGTATTGTTGACTATATGTGGGAATTCTGTACTTTCCACTCAATTTTTCTTTAAACCTAAAATTGCTCTTGAAAAACTAAGAAAATCTGAATTAAGTATGGACTTTAGTTAATAAAAATATGGTTAACTTTACTGATATATAGGATATTAAAAATATTCTGGGTTTTAGGTCATTTATCAGTTAATATGTGTTACACATATCTCTTCTTATTTTTTTGGCTTGTTTTTTCAGTCTCTTGATGCCTTTTGATAAATGAGTTCTTAATTTACTCATTTTTTCTTTTATGATTAATAACTTTATTTTCTGTTTAAGACATTTTCTATCCTGAGAATATAAAATAATCTCCTATATAAACTTCCAGAAAGTTTATTGCTTTACTTAACATATTTAGTCTGGTAAACCACTAGGAATTAATTTTGATGTATGATGTGAGATAGATAAAGTTTTATTTTTTCCCAGTAGTGATAATCAGGTGGTCTAATACTATTTATTCAAGAGATCAACCTTTCTCCACAATTCTGCAGTATCACCTTCATCATAAATCAAGTGTACATAAGTCTCTTCTGATCTCTCTATTCTTTTCCATTGATCTATTTGTAGATTCTCATGGCAAATACCATGCAGTTTTTATTATGGTAGCTTTGTAATAAGTCTTGCCACCTGGTAGTGGAAGAACAACAACTTTTCTTCTGGATTTTTGTGGCTATTTTATGTCCTTTGCATCTACACTTAAATATTAGAAGCAGTTTGTCAATTTATAAGAAAAACATTAGGATTTTTGGGTTTTGATTGAAATTGCATGCAATCTATAGATCAAATTTGGGAGGACTGACAATTTTATAATATTGATCCTTCTAATCCATGTACATTGGTTGTATATAGCTCTACTTTTTATATACATTTGATGTCTCACAGCAATATTTTGTAGTTCATATCTTTCGATGGTATTTAATACAATTCTAAGTGCGATACTTAAATTTTTATTTTCTAATTGTTTTTACAATTAGCTTTTTATCAAATTTTTTTAGTACATTGATCTTCTATATTGTCATTTCCCCAAATTTACTTATTTTTTAATAGCTTAAGAGCAGACTTTTTGGACCTTATATTGACACATTATGTTGTCTGCAAATAATGACAGTTTAATTTCTTCATTTCTAATCACTGTACCTTTAACTTATTTTTGGTGCAAATTGTGTTTATCTGTAGATTCTTGTCTTATTTCATTAGACTTTTCTTGAAAAAAATTTTTTTTTGAGACAGAGTTTCACTCTTGTCACCCAGGCTGGAGTGCAGTGGCATGATCTCGGCTCACTGCAACCTCTGCCTCACAGGTTTAAACAACTCTCCTGCCTCAGCCTCCCGAGTAGCTGGGATTACAGGCACCTGCCACCACGCCTGGCTAATTTTTGTATTTTTTAGGAGAGACGGGGTTTCACCATGTTGGTCAGGCTGGTCTTGAACTCCTGAATTCAGGTGATCCACCAGCCTTGGCCTCCCAAAGTGTTGGGATTACAGGTGTGAGCCACCACGCCCGGCCTTCTTGAATTTTAAAAAATAATTTTGCTGGGTGTGGTGGCACATACCTGTAATCCCAGCACTCTGGAGGCTAAAGTGGGAGGATTACCTGAGTTTAGGAGTTGGAGGACAGCCTGGGCAGCACAGCAAGAGCCTGTCTTTAAAAAATAAATGTGTATATACATATATAATTTTGTATTTCTTCTTCAAAGAGATCAGTTATATACATTGGATTTTCTTGGTTTGCTTTCCAAGTCTAAAACTTTTCTGTGGTCATTTAACCTTTTATTTTCTGTTTTATTTTTCTTTATTCTATTTTCTATTTGTCTCTATGTTTTGGCAAAGAGGAGTCATTACTAAAATGGTGTCCCTATTAGAACCATTAAAGAGGAGTATGCAGGAAACGTAGGTAGGACATCTGTGTCAACCTGTGCATTGGTCACCAGTCTCTGAGCTGTGTGTTTGTATTGCCCCTGTATTTGTGTACTTTAACAACTGTGTAAATAATAACTTCATAATGACTTCTAAAAAGAAGTATGTTCTCCTCTTTAATGGTTCTGATAGGGACACCATTGTAGTAAAAATTTCATTTATTATTCAATATCCTTTATGAACTCTGGTAGCTAGTATTTTATAACTTTCATTTTTTAACTATATATTTCCTTAATGCTTATATTTGTGCTTTGTACTCTTGTTTTAGAGGAGCAGTTTCTTCATAGGTATTTAAAATTATTGGCTTTTCTTTTTTGGCCACAATTTTTACTGGCTTCATAGTAACATTTTTATAGTCACTGTTCTTAATATGCTATTTCCTCCCTGAAACTTTTTTTTCTTACAGTCTCTGCTTCAATATCATGCTGTTTCTCTTTTGATTATTTCTCACATTTGAACAAGTTAGGTTCTTTCTGTACCTTTTTTTGCGAAAAGGTTTTTTGGAGGAAGGGCTAGGGTCATTCAAGCCAACAGGGATTCTCTTGGTTAACACTGAAGTTCTTTAGACGTTTGCTACTCAATATGTGGTTTGTGGCCCAGCCACACTGGCATCATCTGGAGGCTTGCTAAAAATGCAGAATCTCAAGGCCCACTCCAGATCTACTGAATTTGAATCTTCATTTTCAAAAGATCCTCTAGTGATTCATAGGCTCATTGAAGTGTGAGAAGAAAGAGGGGCTTTCTTTTTTGTCCTTAACAATTCTTTTTTTTTTTTTTTTTTTTTGAGACGGAATCTTGCTCTGTTGCCCAGGCTGGAGTGCAGTGGCGCGATCTCGGCTCACTGCAAGCTCCACCTCCCGGGTTCACGCCATTCTCCTGCCCCAGCCTCCCGAGTAGCTGGGACTACAGGCGCCCACCACAGTGCCCAGCTAATTTTTTGTATTTTTAGTAGAGACGGGGTTTCACCGTGTTAGCCAGGATGGTCTTGATCTCCCGACCTCATGATCTGCCTGCCTCAGCCTCCCAAAGTGCTGGGATTACAGGCGTGAGCCACCGCGCCCAGCCAACAATTCTTAATCTTAAGTGAGTGCTATGACTTTCAGTGTCAGGAGTAAGGCCTTTTCAGTGATTTTACTTCTCTCCTAGCAACAGATTTCTTTTGCTTATTATTTGGTGTTTCTTAGACTGATTGGGGGTGGGAAAAAGAGCTTTTTTGGTCGTTCTTATGCATATTAGTCTTAGGCAGGTGCTGTGACCCTGAGTCTCAGGAGTAGTGGTTGCCTTGACCCTGCCCTAAGAATAGGAGACATCTAATAGTATTGGTATGTGATCCTGGGCCCAGAACTTTTTCCTGCCCCATTCTAAGGGATAGAAGATATTTTTTCTTTTACCCTTCCTCAGACTGCAATGTATCTTTACTTGTGCCCTGGGGTGACAGTTAGATATATTAATACATATAAATTATGTTATATATATATTATTATATATAATAAAGTGCATATATTTTAATAATGTAAAAAAATTAAATTATGGTATAAACACAAAATTTACAATCTTAATCACTTAAGTGTACAGTTCAGTAGTGTTAAGTATATTTGTATTTTAATTATTTTTAATTTGAAATTATTGTAGAATTATAGAAAAGTTTCAAAAATACTACAGAGAGATCCTGGTACAATATCACATGCCTGTAGTCCCAGTTACCCAGGAGGCTGAAGTGGGAGTATGTCTTGAGCCCAGGTATTTGAGTCCAACCTGGACAACATAGTGAGATCCCATCTTTAAAAAACAAAAAACAAAAACAAAAAGCTATAAAGAAGTTCCTGTTCCTGTATATTCTTCACCCAGATTCTACTTATGTTAACATCATACATAAACATAGTACAGTTATTAAAACTAAGCAATTAGCACTGGTTTAATGCTATTAGCTTAACTACAGACATTATTTGGATTTCACCAGTTTTTACACTAATGTTCCTTTTATGTTCTAGAATCTAATCCAGGATCCCACTTTGCATTTAGCTGTCATGTCTTCTTAGTCTCCAATCTCTGACAGACATTCCTTTTATCTTTCCTTTTCTCCCTACATGACCTTCACTCCTTTGAAAAGTACTGGTCAGGTAAACTGCAGAATGCTCCTCAATTTGGATTTGTCTGATGTTTTGAAGTTACACATTTTTGAGAAAAATGCTACAGAGATGATGTGTCCTTCTTAGTGCATCATATTAGGAGGTACACGATGTTAATATGTGTTATCATTGGAAATGTTAACTTTGGTCACTTTGTTAAAGTGGGGTCTGCCAGGCTTCTCCACTGTGAAGCTACTATTTTCCCTTTGTAAGTAATACATATTTTGGGGGAGACACTTTGAGACTATGTAAATGTCCTGATTTTCCTTAAAATTTCTCCCATGAATTTTGGCACCTATTTGTGGGTCTTGATTACAGCTATTATTATTTGGCTAGAATGGTGGCTTTCCTATCTTCCTCATTCCTTCTACATTTAGAAGAAATTAATTATAACTTTCTTTTAAGGAATTCCCCCCATGTAAACTTTTTTCAAGTATGATATTCATTGGGAAAGTGTAGAAATCATGAGGGAGCAGTGCGATGACTTTCACAAAGTGTGTATTGCTGGTGTCACCATCGCTGAGATCAAGAAACAGAACACACTGGAATTCTGGAACCCTCCTCATGCCCTCTACCAGTCACTACCTTGTCTCATTCCAAAGGTCACCACTATCTGGATTCTAATCTCATAGATGACTTTTGTCTGTTTTTAAAACTTATATAAGTGGAAATATATGATACGTATTCTTTCGAGTTAGCTTTCTCTACTCTCCATTATGTTTTTGAGATTTACTTTTATTATTGCAGTGGTTCATTAATATTTCTTTGTATAATATTCTATCGTTTTGCTAAACTACAATTTGCCCATTTACTGTTGATGAACATTTGAATTATTTCCAGTTTTTGGCTATTAAGTATAATGCTCTGAACTTTCTTGTGCATGTCTGTTGGTAAATATATGTATGAATTTCTGTTGGATATATGCAGGAGTGAAACTGCTGAATCGTAGGCCATGTGTACTTTCATCTTTAGATGACGTTGCCAAATAGATATCCAAAGTGAATGTAATAATTTGCACTGCCATCAGAAATGTATGAGACAAGTGGCCAACAAACATGAAAAAATGCTCAATATCACTAATCATCAGAGAAATGGTAAATCAAAACCACAATGAGATATCATTTCATACCAGCCAGAATGGCTATTACTAAAGAGTTAAAACACAACAGATGCTGGCAAGGCTGTAGCGAAAACGGAACACTTATATACTGTTGGTGAGAATGTAAATTGGTTCAGCCCCAGTGGAAAGCAGTTTATAGATTTCTCAAAGAAATAAAAATGAACTACCATTCCACCCAGAAATCTCATTTCTGGGTATGTACCCGAAGGACAATAAATCGTTCTACCAAAAAGACACCTGCACTCATATGTTTATTGCAGCACTATTCCAATAGCAAAGACTTGGAAACAACCTAGGTACCCATCAGTGGTGCATTGATAAAGAAAATGTGGTACATATACACCATGGAATACTACACAGCCATAAAAAGAATAAAATCATGTCTTTGGCAGCAAAATGAATGCAGCTGGAGGCCATTATCCTAAGCAAATTAATGCAGAAACAGAAAACCAAATATTGCATGTTCTCACTTATAAGTGGGAGTTAAACCCTGGATGCACACGGACACAAAGATGGGAATAACACACACTGGGACTCCAAAAAGATGAAAGGAGAGATGGGGGCAATGGCTGAAAAACTTCCTGTAGGGTACTATGCTCACTATCTGGGTGACAGAATCAATAGAAGCTGAAACTTCAGCATCACGCAATATACTCTTATAACAAATTTGCATGCATTTCCCTTGAATCTACAATAAAAATTAAAATGAAAAAAGAAATGTATGAGAGTTCTATTTGTTCCACATCTTTGCTAAAAGATGGTAAGATAAGTGTCTAGGGAACACACTCTGCTTCCACTACCCCAGTTTGCATCACTCTAGTATATATTTGAGGTGGGAAGAAGAAGAATTTGAATAAGTTATAAGGTTGTATTTTTTCTTTTTTTTTTTTGTATTTGAGATGGAGTCTTGCACTGTCACCCAGGCTGCAGTGCAGTGGCGCAATCTCATCTCTCTGCAAGCTCCACCTCCCAGGTTCACACCATTCTCCTGCCTCAGCCTCCCGAGTAGCTGGGATTACAGGCACCCACCACCATGCCCAGCTAATTTTTTTTCTATTTTGAGTAGAGACAAGGTTTCACCGTGTTAGCCAGGATGGTCTTGATCTCCTGACCTCGTGATCCGCCCGCCTCCACCTCCCAAAGTGCTGGGATTACAGGTGTGAGCCACCTCGCCCAGCCAAGTTTGGATTTTTAAAGAGATTAAACTCTTAATAGTAGAATGAAACTAGTTTAACAACTAACTAGCTGAAAACATACATAAGTCTGCCCAAAATGTCATCAAGAGAAATGCTATGCAATGGAAAAAGGATTTTTTTCGTGATCTAATTGGTAATAGTTATTGGAAGAAACAAAAACACCTCATGCTCCAATGAGTTAGAATTTCTTGGTAAAAATTGCATGTAGTTGTTGAGTCTTCTAGCCTTTAAGTCTTGCATTTTTTTCTAATAATTTCTTTGTCTTTCTGTGTTGCATTTTGGGGATACAAACTTAATTTTTGCTATTGTGGCTGTAATGAAATTAATGGTCCCTATTGTGAAATCTCACCAATGCTAGAGCTTATATACATGAAATCTGCATTTATGAACATCATCCTAAATCTTATGATTTTTTTCTTGCTAAAATTCTTGTCATATATTTGTCTTTTATGGGTACAACCAATATCATTTATTACAAGTGAAATCTGGCTGCTCCTTAGGAAATAAGAAACTTAAATCTCTGGCCTGCTTTCTGCTCATCTCTCTGCTAATCTGTTGAACTACAGCTTGAGATCTAAAGGGTACTTAGGAAACTGGAGAAGAAAGTGGTTTTACACACACTGTGGTGTTATTTGGTTGTAGGCCATTGCACACAATTTGAATTTGTAAAGATAGAAGGACTGTGTATTTTGGCAATACCATAGATCAAAGATATTTCTCCAGGTTAGTTCATTTGGTCTAATTCATCCTTTTAAGTCACTGCATAATATTGGGTATCGCACTATTTATACAATAACACAGTATTTGTTGGCTATCAGTTTCAATTTTTTTGCCAAAACAAACTATGATGCAATAAACAGCTGTATGCATATATATCCCAAGGGGGAGAGCTGGATCAAGGAGTAAATGTACTTTTAATTTTAACAGATATAGTATTGCTACATTGCTTTCTGAAAAGTTTCTACTTTAGATAAGCCTGAAGATATACTCAATGCCACCATCTTGGGAAAGCACCCAGATACCACTAAATAGAGACAGGATTTTCATTTCTGTAGCTAAAAACTTATCTGTGAATGACTTGGGAAAGTTGGTTCAAACTTGGGAGGGTCCAACTGGGAACCATCAGATTCTAAACTCCAAATGGGAATACACTTAGCCATTTAAGGGAATAATTCAATTTGCTTCGTGTAACCTGAGAATATGTTAAAAAAAATTTTATGGGACATCTTTTTGTTGTCTATACACTGGATGCTCACTGGAGATCCGTTTTCACATGAAGCTAAGTCACATAGACTCAAATTAATTCAAATCAATTAATTATGCTTTTCGTTGTTCATTTATATCTCTGTTCAATTAATAAATCTACTATCTAATTACCTTCCAGCAACACTGATAGTCACAGGAGCTTCAAAACTGAAAAACCCCTGCCCTTGAGGGACTCACAGTCTGTTGTAATCACAGGGTCTAAATGGCCACTGAATCCAAACTTTTACATGTATCTACTTTTACATGTATCTAAGACCAGGCTGATAAAAATAAGTTTGAGCTGTCAACATATGTTTGACTATGGAATGATTTAACAGGTGTATTGATCCATTCAGTCTTTTAGCCAGTCCCAATGGAATGAATTTATGACTTTGCCAGATTGCATGGGCAGGTGGATAGTGTTCTTGACCAGATTGGCTCTAATCACACCTTTGCTCATTAGACCCACTTTTTGTTGAAACAGCTCGAAGTCAATCTTCCCTCATTTTGAAGATGACATTATCATTTCCATAGGAGTAGGGATAATTATGAGACATTTATTTCATTCCAAATCTATTCATTTTAACACCTAGCACAATAAAAAAGTAGTAATTTTGAAACAAAACTCTGACAGTTTTATCTGTGGAAAATATTTAAAAACCCATTATAATTGGGGAAAAAATCCTAATGAACCTACCAGGCTTGCATGCACACCTCTCCTAATCATCTCTGCCACTCTCTCCTTCACTCTTTGCTCTTTGGTTTTTGTAATGCATTAAGCCCTTTCTTCTTCATGTTATTTTATCTCCCTTGTTCTCTTTCTTTTGTTATTACCATAATGAACAGAAAAATGAAATAGAATAGCATCCTAGAAGTGGGTATGAGCCTAAAGAGTGTTAATGTAATTCCTCTGCTTTTGTAGACAAGGTAACTGAGGCACAGGAACTTCAGCTGTGCTTCAAGATACTATCTTTGGTGAGAGAGGTGCTTCTGGGGTTTCAGTGGTTATGTTTAAAGCAAAGGTGCAGAGTCCCACAACCCCCATGCAGGGTCTTCAGTGCCTGCTGGTGTTGTCAGGATCCAAACATTCATATTTTTAAACTATTGTTTAAATAGTTTAAATAGTAGATTAGGTTCTGCAGGAAATGCTGCGATAGAGATTAGTGTGCAATGGGATCAACATCTGTGGAAGGGAAGGAAAGAAGGGCAGGATTTAGCGAAGAAAGAAGTTGAGTTTTGAGGCAGACTTCCTGAAGGCTTCAATGGACTGAAGGCGGGGATGACCCTTCAGAGATGTCCTGACCGTCACAGTGGGGGCCAAGCCCTTATTCTCTGACATTGATCAGTTAGTAGGTACAGATGCCCCAGGTGAAGCAGTCCTTTTAGGGGCTGACAGCTCAGGCCTTTCTGGCACTCGCAAAATCTTCATTCCTGAAGATTCTTCATTCTTGAAGGTAGATCTGGACAGCTTATCCCATAGGTCACCAAACTGAGGCTTTCTTAGAAACTCTATGTCCCCAGGGATGTTAGAGAGATGACCTCTCCTTTACAAATTGATTTTCCTGCTGTTTGAAGGCAGTCCCCTCTCTTAAGACTCTGCCATTAAGCCTCCTTAAGATGAGGACACAGACTGTGCTCAGAATCTCAGTCTTACTGCCCTGGCCCTATTCCCATCTTCCCACATCTTCTGCCTCCTCACTATTCTCAATTTTCAAAGCTTTAGCCTTCTGTTTTCTTTTTCAGGACTACTTTCTCCCCCAAAGTCTCCTCTGTCCTTCAAATAAATTGTTTCTGAATTTATCAGCTCTAGCAGCTGTCAGTGATTCCCAGACTGGTCTGAATACAAAGGTGAACCAAGCTTAGAACCATCAAAATGTACCCCTTTACTCTGCCTTCTCTCCTGTCACCACAGATGAGATCTTTGCACTTCTGTTTAAGACAGAAGCCCAGATCTTATCCCTTTATACCTACTCAATCTATTCCCTTCCTTTCTTTTTGTTATCTTCCAGCTTTATTGTGGTATAATTGATGAATAAAAATTGTGAGAGTAGTATATCCTGCTGCCTACTGGACTTTTCTACTTGGTTGACCCCAAACTCACGTGTTTCAGATTGAACTCATCATCCAATCCTCTATTTTGTCTTTTAAGTTTTGCTCAGTTGCTTATGCCAAAACTTAGTTGTCACTCTTGCCTTGTTCTCATCTCCCAGATTTCCATCAATCACCAATCCAATTGCCTATACCACTTAATTTTTCCGAAGCTTACCCACTGTTCACCTGGTTAACTTTAGCAGCCTCCTCAAATCCATTCTCCCTGCTGCTTCCACAGTCAAGTTCCTGAAAGGCAAATCTGAGGAAAGAATGAAAGAAACTCTGCCCTAGGCATGAAGTTTTGCAAGACCAGGCTGATACTTAGAGATTACTGGGGATTGGTTCTCTGGGGAGAGGCCCCTTAGGGTCCCTATGGTTTTAGGGATGCTACCTTAGAGACTGTCAATTGTGATGTTCCTGGAGGATTTTATAACAGAAATTTACATTTTTCTTGGCAGTGATAGATATATTTATATTTCTATGCAAAAGAAAAGAGGTCCTCTTTCAGAGAATGTAAAGTATAAGCTTCTTTCTTTACCCTGGGGGACAGCAAATATTTAAAGGACATGTATAACTGTTGAGACTTTCATGTCTAAAATGTTAACTGTTTATGTATCATACCACTCCTGTCTGACCCTTACCATCCTGCTCTCCAAAGTATACATCATATTACAGTGTCCAAAGGGAATCCTGAGAGGCAAGAGCACTGGGTATGCCTCTTCCTGGTAGAGTGCTTCTTCATCAATTGCTATTTTTAAAAAAATTATATATATTTGGATTTTGATGACAGCAAGATAGCCCTCTAAAAGTCCATAGTGCTCGTCCTACCCATCCCCCACAAAGATAGCCAAAACAACAAATAAACCACTATAAACCACTACATTTTGATAAAAATAACTAAAGGAGAGCACCAAAGTTTATCAAGGGAGCCACAGAAACCCTGGGTGGGCAGAGAAACTCAGGACAGCCACACAGAGAATGGAAGGAAGCACCTGGGCCCCATCACCCCATTTGCCAGCTGGGATCAGCTTGGAACCAGTAAGGACTTCTCCTTGCAGGGAAAAGGCAAGCAAGGTCACCTCAGCAGGCCCCATCAACACCTCGGACACCTATAGTCCTCAGTGTTATGGACTCTTGTAGTCCTCACAGGCACTAAGCCCAGCTAAGAGAGCTGCCTGGAGTCCATAGCTATACCTGTGCTCCCCTCTGTCACCAGTGGAGTTGACACTGTGCCCTGTGTCCCAGCCCCTGTCTCAGCCCCTGACTGTGGCCCATGCAGCTATGCATTACAATGCTGTCTTGAACCTGGGAATACTGCTGGAGTGTGTTTTGCTTTGGGGGTGAGTGACCACAGCACCCATTCACCCCTGAGGCTCCAAACTACCCCTACCCAGTGGCCCAACATCTGTAACCAGTGAGCAGCTGTACCTACCCTTCCCATTTGCTGCTGTACCTCACCCCTTCAGGCTGGAGCTGAAGCTGCATACTCCCTCCCACAGAAACAGTGCTTTGGCAGACCTGCCCATCTACCCTTTCCAGTTGTTGCTGCACCTTCCCCCTAGGAGCCTGAGTTAAAGCTGCTCATCCACTCCTGAGGAAATGTTGCCTCTACAGAGCTGCTCCAAAAACCTCTCCAGCTGCTGTCACGCTCTGCTCCACAGGACTTGAGCTGAAGCTATGTACTACCTCCCAGGGAAACAGTGCTTTGGTGAAGTCGTTCCATATACCCTTCCCAGTTGCTGCTGTGTTCTGCCCCTCTGTGTGTGAGCTGAACCAGTATCCTGCTTCCTGGAAAAACAGTACCTTGGCTGCTCAGAGCAGTCATGCCTCCCTGGAGCCTAAGCAGAAGCATGCCCTGCATCCTGGGGAAATGGTGCCTGGGCCACCCAGAGTGGTCATGCCCCCAGTCCTTAGCTGAAGTGACACATTGCCCCTGGGGAATTGGTGCCTAGGCTGAGTAGCTGTACATATCAAGGCTTAGCTATATTAGTACCCTGCATCCCAGGGAAACAGAGCAGTGCCTGAGCTTAGACACCATGCTCTGGAGGCCAAACAACTCAAGTACCCTACTCTCCTGGAGCTGGACTAGCCCCCTAGGGCATGAGCTGCTGAGACACCCCTCATTCCCAGGAAGTAGAGTCATCACTGTGCTGCTCCCTGTCCCCCAGGGCCCAAACAACAGCTGTGATCCACCATTCTGGAGTCTGCACTGTCACTACACCTGCCTCACAGAGTCTGGGATACTCCCACCTTCCCAAGGTCTAGAGTTACCACAGCATGATTTCTCATCCCCTGGGACCTGAGTTGCCACTGAACTTTATTGGTTCTGGTTCCCAAATTGCAGCTGTACCATGCTGCCTGGGCCCAAACCTCTGAAGCACCCCTTCTTCCCCAGAGCTAAGCCAGTGTTATGTCCTAATCTCCAGGGTCAGAGTCATAGATACAACCTGACTTTCTAGGCCTCAGCTGCTAGGGGATGCCTCAGAGTCACAGATACTGTTGGCAGTCTATATCCAACCCCACTACAGAGGGTGAACCTGCACATTAAGACCCAAGCTGGTCACACAATAGGTTCCTGAGACCCTGAGCTTAGTACTCCAGCTCCACAGATGCTCTGAGCACATGCACCTGGAACCTAGCACTGCTGCAGCTGCGTGTAGGCCATGTCAGATCTGACACCAAGAGGAGACACCTCAGCTACCTCTCCCCATTATGGGAAAAATGAGAAAAGGAGGACCTCCAAAGCCCTTGTTACTGAGCACCTTAACAACCCATGCCACCATTGCCACTGCCACAAGCTTCTACAGGCCACAACACTGAGGCACCCACAGTTATTGCTGATGTTGATTGCAGTTGAAGAAATTGCACAGAGACTATACTACTACATCTACTCAGAACCAGAGTCACTACACCTTTCTCAATAGCCACACAAAGACACAACTGCAGGTGAAATTCCTTTTCTATGAAAGCCCCTCTATAAAGTTTGGAAGATGCAATTTTTCCACCAGATGCAGAGACATAAATGCAGAGACACAAAAGACATGAAAAATAAAGAAATACGACACCACCAAAGGAACACAATAACTCTTTAATAACAGATCTCACAGGAAAAAAGATCTATGAGTTGCCAGAAAAGGAATTCAAAATAACGATCCTAAGGAAACTCAGTAAAATACAAGAGAATACGTATAGAAGATTCAACAAAATCAAGAAAACAATTCATGATATGAATGAGAAATTTAACACAGTGACAGATATCATAAAAAGAAACCAAACAGAAATCCTGCAGCTGAAGAATTCAATGAATGAAATAAAAAATACAACAGAGAGCTTCAATAGCCAGACCAGATCAAGCAGAAGAATGAATATCTGAACTTGAAGATCAGTTGTTTGAAATTAGCCAGTGAGTGAAAATAAAAATAAAATAAGTAAAATAGAATGAAAAAGGCCTATAGGACTTATGGGACACCATTAAGCAAACAGATATTTGTATCATGAGAGTTCTGGAAGAGATGGGAAAAGGCATAGAAAACCTATCAAACAAAATAATAGTTAAAAACTTTCAGAGTCTTGGGAGAGATATGAAGACCCAGATCCAGTAAGCTCAAAGTCCCCAAACATATTTAACCCCAAAAGATCCTTCCTGAGGCACATTATAGTCAAACTGTTAAAAGTCAAAGATAAAAAGAGAATTCTAAAAACATCAAGAGAAAAGCATCAAGTCACATATAAGGGAGTCCTCTTTAGACTTACAGCAGGTTTCTCTGCAGAAATTCTATAAGCAAAGAGACAGTCATATTTTCAAAGTGCTGAAAGAAAATAATTGGTGGCCAAGAATACTATACCAAGAAAAGCTATCCTTCAGAATGGAAGGAGAAATAAAGTTTTTCCCGACAAGCAAAAACTGAGGGAATTCATCACCACTAGACTGACCTTTCAAGAAATTCTCAAGGGAGCCCTACATACAATGATAGGTCCAACAATACCACCATCGTAACACCCTCCCCCACCCCCCAAAAATTGTTGCTGTTCCCATTGCCTGCTGATGGCACTTACTCTGTTGCTTTGCATCTTAGGTAACAGACTCACAGGAAAGAAGATAATTTCTGTATATCACACTTCCCATTTCCCACTTCAAGGGTTTCAATGGATTTTTCTTTTTTTTTGCATGACTCAGGGGACTGGGACATCTGTATAGGCTCATAACAATGCCTTTACAGTCAGGTTTTCAGCTTGTTCAACGAAGGGATTGTCAATTCTGAGAAGACTTCTTCATTAATAGAGTGTGTGACTATTTGCTCCTTGACTTATTTTACGAGGGTAAGTATATCCCTTTTCCCCTCACTCTTGGACTCAGGAACCAGTTCCAAAGGTGTGCAAAGCCCTTGAAGTGATTTATTTATGGACTTCCCTGTCCATGTTTCTATTTATTCATCCTCTCTTCCACAAACATTTGAAATCCTGTCTTCTTTATGTAACACATTCATATCCAGGACTATATATTACTATTTATCCTCTACAGTATACATGATTTTTCTCCATTCATTACATCCTAGTTCTACTTCTGTCCAGTCCATCTTGCAAAAATAAATAATGCAACATTATTGTTTCTCAGCTTTCATCTCACTTCCTTGTATTCATATAATAATTTAAAGGATACCATGCTTTATGTATAGAGCATTTGTGTGTTGAATCACCATCATTCTTTGACCTCCTTCTCCTATAAACAGTACCTTGGGGATTTTTAAAAAATTAAACATTTTCAGGTATGCATAGTTAGAATTGATGCTGTACCTGGTTATAGGATAGAATGCCATGAAATTTGCATATTAGGTAGCATTTCTCATCTCATTCACAGTCACAGTGTCTGGTTTATAGGTGGATAGTCATGTAATCCCACCATAGTAAATGATACAGGAGGGGTTCTTGGATTAGTTTTTACAAATAAAAACCCTTTATCCTCAGGATAACTGGTACATTGCCCACTGGATACAGAGAGGATCTATCCCTAAGTGTTGTTAGCAGCCTTATTGACACTAAAGGGAAAATATTCATTGAGAATAGAACCTACTCTAGGAAAGCAGAGATGAGAAATAGAGAAAAAAAGAAATCCAGGTCCTGGAAACATTATCTGAGTTCTGGATAAAGCCAAGCCTACAGATTTATTCATCCCTATACTTTGCTGGAACTGAGCTAATAGTCTTATTGATTGCTCAAATCAGTGTGAACTTAACTCTGAGTCCTCTGATTGTTACATATACTTTGTGAAGTTAATAACATTATCTTGATTTTATCAAAAAAGTAATAGAGCCAGAGAAGAGACATGATGCTCAAAGTCATATTAGTTCAGATGTTTTGACTTCAAGTTAAAAAGTTTCGACTATAAAATTATCTAAAAGACTTTCCCCCAAAATTTAGTATTTCCATATTACTACTAGAAAATATAAGTTTTGGTATCTCCAGGCTTTCCACAAAGTAACTTCAATTTACTTGCCATAACACATTTCCTACCATTGCACAAACTGTCTATCTTGTCCAATCAGATCCTCTGTCCAAATCACTCTGCCTTTACTCACGCTCACATTCTTTTCTCCCTTCTGCATTTGTGCCTATTTATTAACATTCATTCAGTCTCTGCTTTCATTTCTTAATGGGAAAGGTCTTGGTGGAATTGGGTCTCTCATGTGAAGAGGTGTTAATTCCCTATGGAAACCTGGAAGAGTCGTATTCCAAGTTTGTGCAGCGGAGATTCCTTGCCCCCATACAGGAAAGTCTGTATAAATTGTGTGTCAGTTCTCCAGAGAAGATTTCTCTCAGGGCATAAAATTTAATGCAGTATAATTTAAAATCAATGCATTGAATCACTAAGTTGTATTTAGGAAGTGCTTTTTAATTGAAGAGGTAAAACATAAATGGGATGAAAATCAGGGACAGTGAATAGATAAGGATCTGAAGATTCTGCTTTGGTACTTGTTGGTGGGTTTGCCTTCTGTAGTTATCCTCACTGATAATTGGAGATACTTATCAAGTGATAACTCAATGCTCAGGTAAGAAAGTCAATTGCTGTGCCCTTCATATTCACATAAAAGTTCGACAGTAATTAGATCTATAGACGGTTTGCTTGCACAAACCATCAATTCTTAGAGGTATGTAGTTGAGGGAGCGGGGTGAAAGCGGTCAGAAATAAGTCCAATTGGTTAGAAAGATGAAACCCTGATGAGGGAGTTATTTGCCCAAGATTATACAGAAAGTTAATGCCAGAGCCAGTAGAACATATCAGTGAATTAGCTAAATCAGCATTATGTTGTTTTATGTTAAAGGGAAAAGATGGAGCATTTAAGTTCAGCTTAAAAAAATTACTCATGAAGGCAGTAATTTAGATTTGTTTTGTAACTTTGCTTTATCAGCTCCTTAAAAGTTGCCCATTTTTAGTAGGATACTCTAAATTTTCTCATTTTACAAACGTATTTGGTTTTATAGGCCTGGAGCTGAAAATGTAGTTTTGTCTATTAAAATGATACTTAGGCATTTTTTTTTCCTGCCAAGTCTATTTTAGGAGATTTTTTACATCCAAAAAATTTTGTTATAGTTAAAACATATATTTGGTTTTTAATATCACTATGGTCAGACTCAATAAATCAATTGCCTTTTCCTCTCTGCTAATGTCCTAATGATATGAAATCAAGATGTCTTCAGCTTGCTGTGTCCTCTCCTCCTGGCTTCCTCTTGTCCCACAGTAAAATTCTGCTGGTTTTTGAAGCATCACACAAAGTCCAGTTTGGAGGTCCATGCTAGTACTAAGGTGTCATTGAATACCTTCTATCTGAGCAAGGCAGCCTTCCTCCTTATGCTTTTTCTCCTCTGCTTAATGGACCTTCCACCCTTGTCATCTTGTGATTATGGTTTCCCACCCTCACTGTCCATTCAGAAGTAATGTTTCCCTCATTTACATTCCTAAAGCAATTGTTATCACTCTAGTTCCCCTTAAATGCCAGCCTGAGAAGTGGGCATTGTATTTTACTGATAAGGGGAGACTCTGAAGTTTCTCGGAGGGAGGGTGATATTATTTTGTCAGAAATTTGAGGTACAGATTGGAGGAACGGGTATAAAACATGGAATAGCCAGTTAGGTTTCCGTTTAAAGGTAGAGGAGGTGAAGGGAGAGGAAAAGAGGCAGTGAGGTGGAGCGTGTCAGCGGGGATGGACTCGTGAGGCCAGGAGGACTCCAGATTTTAAAGACTTGTGGGCCCTGACAGTGAAGGGAATACTGGGAGACAAGGATTGTTGCTCTGGTTGAGAGCAGAGAGAATGAAGTCGCTTTGCCCTGAGAGTGGCTCTGGAGGGGCAGTTGGATTGGGAAGAAAATGGTCATCTCCGCATGGGACTGGCAGGCCCAAAGTGACTCAGGCAGCATGTGTGCTGCCTATGTGCCCACCCACCACTACTCCATGTTCCCTTCAGCCCAGCTCCCATCTGATTGGAGTTGAGGCCTTGCAGCCTGCAGTTTTCTATCAACAAATTAGAGAAACACCTATGTCAGAGCCAGAAGGGATCATTCTGCTGCTTCTAACCCATACAGATGGGGAACCCAAGTGCAGCAGAGGCAGAGACCCATCTTGGAGACAGTGGCAGAGTTAGGACTGCAGCCAAGTTCCAGACTAGCTCGCAATCCAGGCGTAACCAAAACTCAGGTTCAGTTGCTCTTTGCTTGAAGAATCCAACTAAGGGAAGAGGTATAGGCTCCTGCCTTTAAGGACACTGCTTCACTTTTTGGAAAGAAAGCAGAGGCTTTTAAAGGGGAACTTGGCATTAAGAGAGGAGAGAGAGAGCAACCTACAAAACAAAGATGTTGCCAGATAACATTTACTGTTATTTTGTACTTTAAAAACAAGATTTCTGAACCAAAATACTTCACTTCTTTATTTGTATTTTAAAGATTCACTATTACAAGTCATTGGCCATTCTTCAAAAGTGCCAACCTGAAGTTCTGTCAAAATGAGCTTGTCATTACATCTGCTGTCAAGAATTCCAGACTTGAACTCACAGCTATGGGATTACGACTTCATACTCGATATACCAGGTCCATAAAAACAATATAAGTTTCAACTACTGAAATGAAAAGACAAAATCAAAGCTGTGTGGTTGAATTCATCCTCCTGGGCTTTTCTAACTTTCCTGAGCTCCAGGTGCAGCTCTTTGGGGTTTTCCTAGTTATTTATGTGGTGACCCTGATGGGAAATGCCATCATTACAGTCATCATCTCCTTAAACCAGAGCCTCCACGTTCCCATGTACCTGTTCCTCCTGAACCTATCTGTGGTGGAGGTGAGTTTCAGTGCAGTCATTACGCCTGAAATGCTGGTGGTGCTCTCTACTGAGAAAACTATGATTTCTTTTGTGGGCTGTTTTGCACAGATGTATTTCATCCTTCTTTTTGGTGGGACTGAATGTTTTCTCCTGGGAGCGATGGCTTATGACCGATTTGCTGCAATTTGCCATCCTCTGAACTACCCAGTGATTATGAACAGAGGGGTTTTTATGAAATTAGTAATATTCTCATGGATCTCAGGGATCATGGTGGCTACTGTGCAGACCACTTGGGTATTTAGTTTTCCATTTTGTGGCCCCAATGAAATTAATCATCTCTTCTGTGAGACTCCCCCGGTACTAGAGCTTGTGTGTGCAGACACCTTCTTATTTGAAATCTATGCCTTCACAGGCACCATTTTGATTGTTATGGTTCCTTTCTTGTTGATCCTCTTGTCTTACATTCGAGTTCTGTTTGCCATCCTGAAGATGCCATCAACTACTGGGAGACAAAAGGCCTTTTCCACCTGTGCCTCTCACCTCACATCTGTGACCCTGTTCTATGGCACAGCCAATATGACTTATTTACAACCCAAATCTGGCTACTCACCCGAAACCAAGAAACTGATCTCATTGGCTTACACGTTGCTTACCCCTCTGCTCAATCCGCTCATCTATAGCTTACGAAACAGTGAGATGAAGAGGACTTTGATAAAACTATGGCGAAGAAAAGTGATTTTACACACATTCTGATTGTGTTGAGAAGCTGAGTAAGATTTGGCCACTGCCTGAGTGAACTCTATTTAAATTTAATAAAGGGTGAAAACAGACTGCATTTTTTGTATGACTATGTAAGTTTGTTGAGTTTTTTTATTGGAAAACGTATCTCAATAAAGAACTGCTGTCACTTGTTTTTAGTAGATACATATGTTCTCATAACATGACACAACAGTTTATTCATCCATTTCTCTATTATGAACATCCAAGTAGCTACTGGATTACTGTCATTTTTTTTTTTTTTTTTTTTGAGATGGAGTTTCGCTCCAGCCCAGGCTGGAGTGCAATGGCACGATCTGGGCTCACTGCAACCTCCACCTCCTGGGTTCTAGCAATTCTCCTGCCTCAGCCTCCCGAGTAGTTGGGATTACAGGCATGCGCCACCACACCCAGCTAATTTTTGTATTTTTAGTAGAGACGGGGTTTCACCATGCTGGTCAGGCTGGTCTCAAACTCCCAACCTTAGATGATCCGCCCACCTCGGCCTCCCAAAGCGCTGTGATTACAGGTGTGAGCCACCACGCCTGGCCTGGATTACTGTCATTAAGACAGTGCTTCAATAAATGCCTTGTTCCATATGCTCATATGTACTGATGTCATTATACCTGTGTGATAGATTTGCTACAGTGCGGCTGATAGGATGAGGAGTATCTGTGTTTACAAATTTTATTAGCTATTGCAGAATTACTTTTCAAAATGATTATAGTTCTTCAGACTGGCCTGAAGGCTCACTGTGCTTTGGTAACAGGGTAGAGCTTCAAGAGACCAACAAATAAGGTGATGATGTTTCTATTTTTGGATTGAAAATTTGTTCCACGGATGAGTAAAAAAAAAGTGCATCTATTTTGGGGGGCCAAAAATGGTTCTACTTCATGACCTTACACAAATTATAATCCCAAACTGGATTTCTCTTGGTATCTTTCCAAATATTTATCCAATGTTGGTGACCAGAGAGCTACATGGGAAGTTTCTCAAATTCTCATTTGATAATATCAGTATCTTTTTCATTTACAGACCACTGATTTAGAAACTTTTATGAAGTTTCCTTTTGTAGTCTGTGACAGGAAAGTAAAATCTTGGAACCCCAAACTCACTATGCCAAAAGAAAAGTTAAGCTTGGAAACTGGCTCAGGCAAAAAAATTGCCTTTCCTTTTGTTCCTAAATAGATAGCTACAAGATATCCGGTCACCTATCTTCCCAGGTTACCTCCCTCAATTGTTCTTAAAAATAATTGGAATAAAACTGATACTGTGATGTTAAGATTAGATATACATATTCTGCTAAATGAAGGGGTGTCATTATAATTTGTGTATATTATTTGGGAATAGGCAATACATATATATATCTGTGTGTCTATTTAAACTGGTTTTAGGTTTATAATTGTTAAACAAATCCCTACTGATTGTTTACGTGGTCTCTATTACATATGAAATTTGACATAAATATCTGAATTGTTTACTGGTATTATTTCAATTCATATAGAGTTGACTGAATTTGTGTTTAAGGAATTACAATATGAAATCATATCACATTAATTCTAAATGTGTATGGGTATATTTGTATATGGTCTATGCACTGATTTGTAATTTTTTTGAGGAGTTACACATTATAACTAGTAAATCTGGTTGGTCTTGGTAAATGAGTTCCACGTTGCTTGGGCTTTTGCATAGCCTTTATCTCTGCTGCCAGGCCACTTTGTTCTTGTGGGCATCATGCCAGCACTGGGGTGGTTGCTGACAGAAGAAGTAGGCTAATTTGTCAACTGGGTGAGTCATTTTACCTACTGACCAGGTGTTAACACAAGATACAAAGACCTTCACACTTTATGCCCACTCCATATGCCTATCAATATGCCTCTACCCTAGACCTCCCTGCTGCCAAACTCCCTTTCTTTTCTTTCCAGATCAGGTCAATAAACTTTCACTTATCCAGCCTTGCCTACCAGCCTCCTGGTCCAGCACCCTCAGGACAAGTACCATGGTTCTCCCCTTGTTGGTGAAGGTCTGTTAGATCTTGCAGTTCTTTTGTGGTATTGTTCCATTCTTTCCTTATTTCCCTGGCTGAGCTGTGCTGTGACTTAACCATATTTATAGGCCTGGTGTTGAGGAAAAGAGGGGAAGGCAGTTTCTGATCGTGCGCCTCTTCGATAGTCTTCCTGCCCTGAATAGGGAGGGGTTGGTCACTTCTGCAGTGTTAGAAAGTTTAGTGATATCTTTGAAGTCCAGATCTTTGGAGGCATCCACCTAGAATTCTTATCCCATGTGTCAAAGCCTTAGATTTTTTCCAACTCTGGCTCCAGATTTGGCTTAACATAGCTACCTTGATTAAGCATGCAGGTATCATTGAAGTTCAGCCACTGTGACTACTGAACCCTGAAAATGATCTCCATTTTTTCTGCCTGCTTGTTGCAAGAGATGAGGACCTCTTTGTGAGTGACTGACACTCTGGTTCTCACATTTAATTTTCAATGGTTTGTCAATTGACTCATCTTTTGTTATCTATCTGAAGATCAATGCAATTGTAGTAATGTTTTAGTCTGTTAGCATTGCTGCAAAGAAATACCCGAGACTGGGTAATTTACAAAGAAGGGAGATTTATTTAGTTCATGGCTCTTCAGTCTGTACAAGAAGCATGGTGCCAGCATCTACATCTGATGAGGACCTCAAGCTGCTTCCACTTATGGCTGAAGGGGAAGGAGAGGCAGAGTATAGAGATCACACAGTGGGAGAGGAAGTGAAAAAAAGAGAAAGAGGGAAGGTGTCAAGCTATTTTTTGCAACCATCTCTAGCAGAACTAACAAACTAAGAACTCACTCACTCCCCTCATCACCCCAGGAAATCAGTCTATTAATAAGAGATCCACCACCATGACCCAAACATCTCCCACTAGGCCCCACCTTCAACATTGGGGATCAAATTTCTTTTTTTTAATTATTATACTTTAAGTTCTAGGGTACATGTGCACAATGTGCAGGTTTGTTACATATGTATACATGTGCCATGTTGGTGTGCTGCACCCATTAACTCGTCATTTACATTAGGTATATCTCCTAATGCTATCCCTCCCCCCACCTACCACCCCTCAACAGGCCCCAGTGTGTGATGTTCCCCTTCCTGTGTCCAAGTGTTCTCATTGTTCAATTCCCACCTATAAGTGAGAACATGTGGTGTTTGTATTTTTGTCCCTGAGATAGTTTGCTGAGAATGATGGTTTCCAGCTTCATCCATGTCCCTACAAAGGACATGAACTCATCCTTTTCCATGGCTGCATAGTATTCCGTGGTGTATATGTGCCACATTTGCTTAATCCAGTCTATCATTGATGGGCATTTGGGTTTCAAGACTTTGCTATTGTGAATAGTGCTGCAATAAACATATGTGTGCATATGTCTTTATAGTAGAATAATTTATAATCCTTTGGGTATATACACAGTAATGGGATTGCTGGGTCAAAAGGCATTTTTGATTCTAGATCCTCGCCACACTGTCTTCCACAATGGTAGAACTAATTTACACTCCCACCAACAGTGTAAAAGCGTTCCTATTTCTCCAGCACCTGTTGTTTCCTGACTTTTTAATGATCTGCATTCTAACTGGCATGAGATGGTATCTCATTGTGGTTTTGATTTGCATTTCTCTAATGACCAGTGATGATAAGCTTTTTTTCATATGTTTGTTGGCTGCATGTATGTCTTCTTTTGAGAAGTGTCTGTTCATATTCTTCACCTATTTTTTGATGGGGTTGTTTGCTTTTTTCTTGTAAATTTGTTTAAGTTCCTTGTAGATTCTGGATATTAGCCCGTTGTCAGATGGATAGATTGCAGGAATTTTCTCCCATTCTGTAGGTTGCCTGTTCACTCTGATGATAGTTTCTTTTGCTGTGCAGAAGCTCTTTAGTTTAATTAGATTCCATTTGTCAATTTTGGCTTTTGTTGCCATTGCTTTTGGTGTCATCCTGATACCAAAACCTGGCAGAGACACAACAAAAAAAGACAATTTCAGGCCAATATCCCTGATGAACATCGATGCAAAAATCCTCAATAAAATACTGGCAAACTGAATCCAGCAGCACATCAAAAAGCTTATCCAACACAATCAAGTCAGCTTCATCCCTGGGATGCAAAGTTGGTTTATCACATGCAAATCAATAAGCGCAATCCATCACATAAACAGAACCAATGACAAAAACCACATGATTATCTCAATAGATGCAGAAAAGTCCTTCAATAAAATTCAACACCACTTCATGCTAAAAACTCTCAATAAACTAGGTATTAATGGAATGTATCTAAAAATAATAAGAGCTATTTATGACAAACCCACAGCCAATATCATACTGAATGGGCAAAAGCTGGAAGCATTTCCTTTGAAAACTGGCAGAAGACAAGGATGCCCTCTCTCACCACTCCTATTCAACATAGTATTGGAAGTTCTGGCCAGGGAAATCAAGCAAGAGAAGGATATTCAAATAGGAAGACAGGAAGTCAAATTGTCTCTGCAGATGACATGATTATATATTTAGAAAACCCCATCGTCTCAGCCCCAAATTTCCTTAAGCTGATAAGCAACTTCAGCAAAGTCTCAGGATACAAAATCAATACACAAAAATTACAAGCATTCCTATACACCAATAATAGTCAAACAGAGAGCCAAATCATGAGTGAACTCCCATTCACAATTGCTTCAAAGAGAATAAAATACCTAGGAATCCAACTTACAAGGGATGTGAAGGACCTCTTCAAGGAGAACTACAAACCACTGCTCAAGGAAATAAGAGAGGACACAAACAAATGGAAAAACATTTACATGCTCATGGATAGGAAGAATCAATATCATGAAAATGGCCATGCTGCCCAAAGTAATTTATAGATTCCATGCTATCCCCATCAAGCTACCACTGACTTTCTTCACAGAATTAGAAAAAACTACTTTAAATTTCACATGGAACCAAAAAAGAGCTTGCATAGCCAAGACAATCCTAAGCAAAAAGATCAAAGCTGGAAGCATCATGCTACCTGACTTCAAACTATACTCTAAGCCTACAGTAACCAAAACAGCATGGTACTGGTACCAAAACAGATATATAGATCAATGGAACAGAACAGAGGCCTCAGAAATAATGCTACACATCTATAATCATCTGACCTTTGACAAATCTGACAAAAACAAGCAATGAGGAAAGGATTCCCTATTTAATAAATGGTGTTGGGAAAACTGGCTAGCCATATGCAGAAAACTGAAACTGGACCCCTTCCTTACACCTTATACAAAAATTAACTCAAGATGGATTAAAGACTTAAACGTAATATCTAAAACCATAAAAACTCTAGAAGAAAACCTAGTCAATACCATTCAAGACACAGGCATGGGCAAAGACCTCATGGCTGAACTTCACTTTCTATTTTTAAAAACCTTGCTTTTATTTATTACAAAATTATTTCTTTTAAATTCAAGCAGTAGATTTATAAAATAAAAATACAAAAGTGTCTCTCAAAAATACCTCTATTCTCATCCCCCAATTCCATCATTCCTAAAAGTAGCCAATGTAAATTATTTCATGTCTATTTTTTTGTGATTCTTCCTATGTACATAAAACACTTATATAAATAAATATAATTTTTATAAAATGAGCATAAGAGTTTTTACATCTAGTTTTTTAAGGTATGTTGTTAGTTTGTTTCTAAGACTAGTTTTTCTTTTCTATTTTGGGCTTTTTTTGCAGTTTTATTACACGGAATGCTGTATATATATGATTGCCAGGATTTTGGAATTTATTGAGATTTTCTTTTTGACAAAACACATATTCAATTTTTGTAAATATTATATAGATATTTTGGGATAAAAATATAGAGTTAATGAGATGAAAGTGTTCTATATCTTATTTATTCTCATTACCACCTGTTAAATCAACATTTTATTATTCAAATCTTTCCATTTTGTATTTTTTGTTGTCTGTTTGCTCTCTCAAACTTTGAGAAAGTGTGTTAAAAATCTCCACATTTTGATTATTGTTATATCCATGACATATTGGCTTTAAATTGGAGATTAACATTACTATTATTCCCCACTTACCCTTTTAAATATGTGCCTGAAATGTTTTTTATACACTTTGTTGAAATCCAATGTATGTAAAGTGTACAATTCATGACTCTACATCTTGATGACTTCTCACAATTTGTACATCACCTGTGATACAGTCACTGACATCAGGTTATAGAGCATATTAGTACAACAGAAGCCTGCATGGGATGTCATGGGGTAGGAATTATGAAAAGTACCTATTAGACAGCTTTTCCCATCTTTGGGGCACCGGACTAGTTCATGAATGGGCATGTAATCCCACCATGGGGACTAATATGGGAGGCGTCCCTGGACTGCTTCTTTCAGAACCCCCTTTCCTCAGCATCACTGGGACATTTCCCACTGGAGACGGATTAGGGAGAATATCCCTATGTGTTGTTGGCAGCCTTACTGCTGCAAGGACAAGAGGGCTTTCTTGAGAATAGAACCTACCCCACAAAACCATAGATGAGAAGAAGAGAAGTGGAGCCTCGGCGTGAGCACATCATCTGCCTTCTGGATAAAGCCAAGCCTGCAGATTCATTCATCTCTGTCTCCTGGGACAGAGCCTATGGCTTCCTTTATTGCTCAAGCCAGTTTAAACTAAACCCTGAGTCCTCATTCCTATATACATCCTATGAGATTAATATCATTATCTTTATTTTACAGAGAAAGTAATAGAACCAGAAAGTTGAGTGATGTGCTCAAAGTTATACAAGCCAGTCAGGATATTTTGACTCCATGTTAAAAAGTTCTTGAGTCAGAGGGAGCATCCAGGCTTTCTACAAAGCACCTTTAATCTACCTGCCATGTCTCCCTCCATTGCACAAACTGTGCATTGTGTCCATGTGAATCCTCTAGCCCTAGGTCACCTGCCTTTGCTCACACCTTCACTCCACCCCTCCCTTCTTTCCCTATTGACAATGTTCATTCAGCCTCTGCTCTCACCTCCTACTGGGAGGTGTCACGGTGGAATTGAGTCTCTTGTGGGAAGAGGTGCTCATTCCCCATAGACATAAGAAGGAGTGCTGCTCCATGTTTGTGCTCTTGAGCTTTCTCACCCGAGGGGCCAAGTTTAAGCCTCGTTAGTTATCACACAAAAATACAGGAAGGTCTCTATGAAGTGATTTCACGTTCTTCAGGGAGGAATTCTCCAGGGCATATAATTCTATGCCATATAACATTATGGAATCAATGCTCTGAATCAGTCAGTTGTGTTTGTGAATAGGTGGCTTTTGACTACAGGTGAATCTTCTGATAAAGTAGTATGAAAATTAAAGAGACAGAGTCAACAGGTAAAAAAGTGCATATTCTGCTCCTGTGCGTTTTGGTGGGACTTCTGTTTATAGTTGTCCTCTTTGATAGTTGGAGATGTTGTTGAAGTGATGGCTCAGTGCTCAGGAGTCACTAGGCTCAGCTGAAACATTGAGTCAGTAGACTTTTTGGTTTGATGCCAGTCAATTTCTTTTTCTTTTCAGAGAAAGGTTCGGGCAATAAGTAGAAGTGTAAGTGCTTTGCATGCATAAATCATCATATTCTGGAGTTTGCAACTAGAAGAGAACTTGGTTAGTAAGTTCAACACTTACCTCTTTCCATTGGCAGGCTGAAGCCTTGGGGAGGAAGTGATCTGCGTAAGTATTACTTGTCAGTGATCTATCCAAGACACCATGAAGATCTTCTAAGGTATAAAGATTTTCTATTTTGTATAACATTCTGTAAATATTCTAATTTTTAAAACCAATCTACTTTTACATAGTTGGAACTGAATACATGTTGTTCTTTTTTTTGCCATTAGAAATGCATTTTAAATATTTGGCCTCACAGAGTCTGGTTTTAATAATTGTAGGAGGTTTTTTGACATCCAAAATACAGTACAATTTTTGTGGTTAAATACAGTCATTTGATTTTAATACATGACTATGGACAAATTCAGAAATAAAGTAACTTGTCTTCTCCTGTCTGCTAATGTCCTACAGGTCTGCACTCAAGACAGCACTGTATGCCTTCAACTTGCTGTGTCCATCTGTCTTCCTGGCTTCCTCATCTCTCACAGTGAATTTCTTTTGGTTTTCAAAACATCACACAAAAGGCAGTAGGCTTCCATTCTAGTTTTATGGTGTCACCAAGTGCCTCCTGACTTGAGCAAGTCAGTTTTCCTCCTCCTGCCATCCTCCTCCGACCTAATGGCCTTCCATTCATGACATCCTGTGATTGTGTTTGTTCATCCTCCACCCCCTTCAAATGTCATCATTCCCTTACTTAAATTTCTACAGCACGTGTTATTAATTTCCAATTGTGTTGTGTGCTGACTTCTCTTAGGCACTCTATTCCTTAAAAATAGAGTCTAGGTTTTTCTTATTTTAAAATTCATTTATTCAAAAATGTTGGTTTAAAACCTATTATGAGCCAGGGAGGGTTGTAGTGTAGGCAGTGTGTGTAGAGCAAAGAAGCAAACAAAATCTTTGCCCTCTGGGAGCTAAGCTCTAGTGAGGGATTTTATATATATATATATATATATATATATACATACACATACACATACCTTACTAGAGCTTATATATATATAATATATATAAAATATTAATCTGTTTATATTTATATAAATATTTAAAATATATTTTACACATATTTCTTAAAAAAAGGATAGAGGATATATTATATTCTATGCCATATAATGTTATAAAATCAATGAACTGAATCACTCAGTTGTGTATATATATGTGTGCATGTGTGTGTATATATATATATATATATATATATATATATATGTACACATAGAAAGAGAGAGAGAAAGAAAGAGAAAGTCCTGGGGTATGCGGTACGGGGAGGTACTAGTTTATGCAGCATACTGGTTAAGGGGTTAGAAGCTATTTTATGTAGTGTGCTTAGCTCTCTGTTGAGCTCTGGATTCATGTGTATTCCTAAGGGTGCAGAGCCTAGAAAATGGTAGCTGGTTAATCAGTGCTTGTTGAATAATTAATGATTAAATGAATTTTTTGATGACGAGTATAGTGGGAAGAGAGAAGAGAGAAAAGGAGAGAGAGAGTGAAATCTTTTAAATTACACAATGATCCCCCAAATGGTTTTTTTCTTAAGTCATCATGGTCAGAAGGATAGACCTTGGAGATCTGGCCCCAAAAACTTCACATCCAGGTAAATCCCAATATAATTGGCCAGATCCAGGATGGGCAGAAATCTGCAAGCTTGAAGCCAATTCACATAGTCTATAGGTCACCTAATATGGTTGTGTTGAAAATTCAAATCCCCTCTATGTTTCTACAGAATGTTGTTTTCTTTCTCCAAGTCATATATAGGTACTTTGAATCTAATTAATATTTTAAATAAGTTTATATCAAATATGCTGTAACATTGGATTATTAGGCTATTATCACATTTGTTGAGATATCTTTTTCAATCTATCTGCTTTTTTATATTTTATTTTTTGTAGTCTTAAGTTTTGCATTTATGTAAAATTCAGTTAAATAAAGAACACTTGCACCAATGTTATGGGATTGGAACCTAAGGTATAAAGTATTTATATTTCCATTAAGGCTATGTTTAATTTTCAAATAATATCAAATAAATTTTGATATTATTTGACAAGATCTCTGAGCCAGAATTCTTCATTTCTATTTTTTATATTTGGAATATAATCCAAGTATTTGGTCATTGTCTAAAATTGCCAAAGAAAATTTCTGTCAGGATAGGCTCCTCATCTTCTGCCAGAATTTCTGGGGTGAATGCAGACTGGAACTCTTAGCTAATGGACTGTGGCTTTATTCTGTATATACTATGTCCATAAAATCAATGCACGACTTCATTACTGAAAATGGAAAGACAAAATCAAAGCTGTGTGGTTGAATTCATCCTCTTGGGCTTTTCTAACTATCCTGAGCTCCAGGGGCAGCTCTTTGTGGCTTTCCTGGTTATTTATCTGGTGACCCTGATAGGAAATGCCATTATTATAGTCATCGTCTCCCTAGACCAGAGCCTCCACGTTCCCATGTACCTGTTTCTCCTGAACTTATCTGTGGTGGACCTGAGTTTCAGTGCAGTTATTATGCCTGAAATGCTGGTGGTCCTCTCTACTGAAAAAACTACAATTTCTTTTGGGGGCTGTTTTGCACAGATGTATTTCATCCTTCTTTTTGGTGGGGCTGAATGTTTTCTTCTGGGAGCAATGGCTTATGACCGATTTGCTGCAATTTGCCATCCTCTCAACTACCAAATGATTATGAATAAAGGAGTTTTTATGAAATTAATTATATTTTCATGGGCCTTAGGTTTTATGTTAGGTACTGTTCAAACATCATGGGTATCTAGTTTTCCCTTTTGTGGCCTTAATGAAATTAACCATATATCTTGTGAAACCCCAGCAGTGTTAGAACTTGCATGTGCAGACACGTTTTTGTTTGAAATCTATGCATTCACAGGCACCTTTTTGATTATTTTGGTTCCTTTCTTGTTGATACTCTTGTCTTACATTCGAGTTCTGTTTGCCATCCTGAAGATGCCATCAACCACTGGGAGACAAAAGGCCTTTTCCACCTGTGCCGCTCACCTCACATCTGTGACCCTATTCTATGGCACAGCCAGTATGACTTATTTACAACCCAAATCTGGCTACTCACCGGAAACCAAGAAAGTGATGTCATTGTCTTACTCACTTCTGACACCACTGCTGAATCTGCTTATCTACAGTTTGCGAAATAGTGAGATGAAGAGGGCTTTGATGAAATTATGGCGAAGGCGAGTGGTTTTACACACAATCTGACTGTGTTGAGAAGCCATGTAAGATTTAGTCACTGCATGACTGTATTCAATCTAAATTTAATAAATTTAGATTCATTAAGTTTGCATTTTTTGGCATGAGTATGACTAATTTATTGTGTTCTCCAAGTTTGATTGTATATCAGGAGCATCTTTATATGTTAATGTTTTTAGTTTTTTCACCAGTGCATAATATTCCTTAATATTGAATATAACACAATTTCAACAATTTGTTTAGTAGTAGCCCTACTGATGGTTATTTTTTTGTCACAATAGATAATACTAAAACAACCAGTTTTTATATATTCATAAATTCTGGTGCTTTAATTTTTACAGAATAGCTTTCACAAAGTAGGTTTGAAGGGTCAAAACAAATGTGAGTTTGCAAGTTTTCATAGATATTACTGAGTTACTTTTTTAAATGATTTTAACAACTTCAGACTGACCTGAGCACCCATCCTATCCCTCTACTATGTTGTATGCCAAGAAGCCTACAATAACGAGATGAGATTTTCTGCTTCTGTAGTGAAAATCTGTTCCATACATAAGTAGGAAAGAACAGTTATTTATTGAGAGGAACACAATGTCTCTACTCAGGGACCCAGAGAGTCTATAATTCAAAACTAGATATCTTCTGGTTATTTTAGAATATATATTCCTCCAGTGTTTTGAGTAGAGAACATCATGTGATCATTTTTGAAGGTCATTTAAAGTACGGCTGTCCTTTCCACTTATAAACTATATTTTTTGAAACTTGGTCAAATTTCTTTCATAAGGCAAAAATGCACCTCATACAGGCCAAACAATGTATGATTGTGTTTTTTTGTTGTGGGACATAAATATGATTACCTCATTGTGCCTATTTTCTATTATCCTTGGGTCATATCAATATTTATGTGCATCTTTCCAACATAAAATAATCACATAATAGTCTTTCTAGTTATATATAAAGATGAATAATTAGACACATTGCAACATTGAAATATAACATTTCATTCTTGCTTCCTATTTTAATATTGCTATAATAAATAGAAAGGGTTCTTCTCATTAAATCTATATCAAAGGAGTTGACAACACCCTTCATTTCTGCTCTGGGGGTGGAGGTGGGGTAATAAAGCGGTTAGAACACTTCTACAAAACAATCATTCATTGGATGGAAAACCCTTCTTTTCTTCACTACTCCTTCTGCCAAAAATAAAGGTGAAGTTGCAAATCTATTTGAATTTCAAAAAAAGAGAGAAATTTCATGAGAAGAAGGCTGGAACCTTGTGGGTAATGATGCAGGACTTTTCTTCTCAGTCACTTTGGAAGCTGGGGACCCCTGACCGGCAACAGCCCACCTGGCATGCCCCAGCTCACCTCTGTTATAGCTTGTACCTGCATTCAGCAGTTCCCAAGCTTTTGTACCACACCCAAGAAGAATGAGGATATGCTGGGCATTGAAGGGTAAGGATGGTGGAGAAGAATTTTACTGAAGGACAGAACAACTGTCAGCAGAGAGGGGATATGGGGGGTGGTTCCCCTACTGGAAGGCAGGAAAGCCCCACCATGGTGGCTGGGTCCAGGACCTTTTAGGGACTCAAAATGGGAAGTACATGCTGGTTTGTGAGGTATGCAAAAAGGTTAAAGTGAAGACACCACTCAAAGGTGGGCATGACAGTGTAGAAAAACCAATTAGGAAAGGGTAGGTATATGTAAAATAGGTGAAGAGCGGGGAACAATCAGAGGAAAGTATGTGAAATGGGAAGATAAGTTCTCAATCCGGTCCCAGAGTTTAACTTGCAGTTTGGCTTTCAGGCTTTAAACTGTCTTTTGTTTAGAGGTGGGGTTTCACCAGGAACCCACCCCATCTGCCTAGGCATTTGGCTGCCTCCTGTCGCTATCAGTGATATCTGAATGTTGTATAATACTGTTTTCATTTGGGCACCAAACAGCCCTCAGCAAAAGCCTTTGATTGGATCCCATCTCTTGATATCCTGAAATTTCCTTCTGATAGCTTTTAAAAGAACCAATTAAGTAAGACTTATGTAAAACGAACAAATCAGCAAAGAAACAAACAAAGGAAGCTAAATACAGAAAGTCTTTTTAGCCATTCTTTAGTTCATTTTGTTCATTGATTCTGTAAACCAATTTTTTTCTTAAAAAAAATTCTTTATAAAAATGTCTTAAGAGAGCTAAATCTAATGAAATAGTCTCTGCTCTTGAAGGATTTACAGTGTACTGGTCATTAGATGCTGGAAGGTTACTATATTTGACGCTTTCCTCTTTCATTGCCTTTGTGATAAATAAAGCCTGGATTGGCAAGATGTTCATGAAATTACAATAAGAAATTAGGTCACTCTAATTCTAAATTTGTATGTGTGTGTGTATATGCGTGTGTGAATCCAAGTATGTGCTGGGAATTTATACATTTGTGATGTTATGTGAGGAGATAGAAATAATCGCTAGTAAATTTAGTCATAGTTTAAAATTTTTATGTTATTCTGATGAATAGAAATTGTTAGTATGCTTCACACATAATAGCCTAATCATATCATTTCTGCATACTATTCTTCATGGTGATTTTTAGTTATAGTCACCGTGGCTGCTACTGCTGCTAGTTTTCTAGTTTATGCCCATTCTCCTTTTTCTTTAATAGAGAAAACCCCATTTTTGTTCTTTAAGTAGAAAAAAAAAACAAGTTTCTTAAGGGCAGTAATGTATCCAGTTAATAACCAATTTCCCAGTTTCTCTTTTGAACAAGGGTGGTTTGTGACACAGTTCTGACTAGTGATATATAGGTGGACATCCTTGAGTAGGGTGTCTATGAAAACTCTTTAAAAATGTGACTTAGTTAATAAGGACTTTTTGCTCTTCAACCTCCTCCTTCCTTCTACCTGAAACAAGCCATGAGGCTAGAGATAGTGCAGCTATCTTGCAATGAGAGTTAAAGCATGACTAGAAAAGCCAGGCCCTACAGAGGCCAAGTGGAAAGCTAGAGGGCCCCTGGGTCTGTGACGGCATTGCGTAGTGACCTTATCATTCCTCTCCTGCCTATTTGTTTACTGACTGTTACTTCAGAGAAATAAACCTTGTCTTTGTTTAATCCAGTATTTGCTAGGTTTTCTGTTACAGCATAACCCAATCCAGACTGTTATTGTTACAAAAAAAAAAAAAAATAAATTTAAGAAAACTTACATGTAGTGGATAATTTGGCATCTTTCTCCACAATATATTTAAGCTTAAGGTTAGAAAATTTTAAATTATATTTTTTTCTGTTTAGATCTGAAAAAGAAATTATGGAGCTGTAATACTGGTAGTCATGAATAAAGTTTGACAAGAAAAATAATATCCTAGAAGTGAAATAGAGTTACAGTTTTCTTCCAGAAAATCCAGGCAAATAGCAACCCATAATATGGACAGATTTAAAGGTTTTATAACCCCCTTCACCAAAGATGCTTAGAGGTGGCTGATGTTCCAAGTAAACTTGAAACAGAAAGCAAATCACGCAAGCTTGTTTCAAATATAAAAGTTAATACTTTTTTCCAATACATGCTTCTCAAAGAAAATAAGCAGAAAAAAAAATTTCTACCATGAAAAGCTGCACATAATTTGAGTTCCAAGTGTTTTTTTTTCTTGAAGATAAATCTTGCTTTTTATATAACTTGGATCATAAGATTATTCAAGTGTGTATTTTATTTAAGTTAGTGACTTACACATTGTTTATGTTACCACAAAATTTTCATAAACATAGTTTTTCATCAGAACATGGAAAATTATTTATTTGCTCATTCCCTATTTTTGGATGTTTAAGGTGTTTTGAATTTTATCAAGTCATAAAAAGCACTGCTAATTATATGCACAGCATTTTCCCTGCAAAAAAAATTTTAAAAAATTTTTCTAGATCAACGAGACAGAAAGTCAACAAGGATACACAGGAATTGAACTCAGCTCTGCACCAAGCGGACCTAATAGATGTCTGCAGAACTCTCCACCCCAAATCAACAGAATATACATTTTTTTCAGCACCACACCACACCTATTCCAAAATTGACCACATACATGGAAGTAAAACTCTCCTCAGCAAATGTAAAAGAACAGAAATTATAACAAAATATCTCTCAGACCACAGTGCAATCAAACTAGAACTCAGAATTAAGAATCTCACTCAAAACCGCTCAACTACATGGAAACTGAACAACCTGCTCCTGAATGACTAGTTGGTACATAACGAAATGAAGGCAGAAATAAAGATGTTCTTTGAAACCAACGAGAACAAAGACACAACATACCAGGATCTCTGGGACACATTCAAAGCAGTGTGTAGAGGGAAATTTATAGCACTAAATGCCCACAAGAGAAAGCAGGAAAGATCCAAAATTGACACCCTAACATCACAATTAAAAGAACTAGAAAAGCAAGAGCAAACACATTCAAAAGCTAGCAGAAGGCAAGAAATAACTAAAATCAGAGCAGAACTGAAGGAAATAGAGACACAAAAAACCCTTCAAAAAATTAATGAATCCAAGAGCTGGTTTTTTGAAAGGATCAACAAAATTGATAGACCGCTAGCAAGACTAATAAAGAAAAAAAGAGAGAAGAATCAAATAGACACAATAAAAAATGATAAAGGGGATATGACCACTGATCCCACAGAAATACAAACTACCATCAGAGAATACTACAAACACCTCTATGCAAAAAAACTAGAAAATCTAGAAGAAATGGATAAATTCCTCAACACATACATTCTCCCAAGACTAAACCAGGAAGAAGTTGAATCTCTGAATAGACCAATAACAGGAGCTGAAATTGTGGCAATAATCAATAGCTTACCAATCAAAAAGAGTCCAGGACCAGATGGATTCACAGCCAAATTCTCCCAGAGGTACAAGGAGGAACTGGTACCATTCCTTCTGGAACTATTCCAATCAATAGAAAAAGGGGGAATTCTCCCTAACTCATTTTATGAGGCCAGCATCATTCTGATACCAAAGCCAGGCAGAGATACAACCAAAAAAGAGAATTTTAGACCAATATCCTTGATGAACATTGATGCAAAAATCCTCAATAAAATACTGGCAAAATGAATCCAGCAGCACATCAAAAAGCTTATCCACCATGATCAAGTGGGCTTCATCCCTGGGATGCAAGGCTGGTTCAATATACACAAATCAATAAATGTAATCCAGCATATAAACAGACCCAAAGACAAAAACCACATAATTATCTCAATAGATGCAGAAAAGGCCTTTGACAAAATTCAACCACCCTTCATGCTAAAAACTCTCAATAAATTAGGTATTGATGGGACATATCTCAAAATAATAAGAGCTATCTATGACAAACCCACAGCCAATATCATACTGAATGGGCAAAAACTGGAAGCATTCCCTTTGAAAACTGGCACAAGACAGGGATGCCCTCTCTCACCATTCCTATTCAACATAGTGTTGGAAGTTCTAGCCAGGGCAATTAGGCAGGAGAAGGAAATAAAGGGTATTCAATTAGGAAAGGAGGAAGTCAAACTGTCCCTCTTTGCAGACGACATGATTGTATATCTGAAAAACCCCATTGTCTCAGCCCAAAATCTCCTTAAGCTGATAAGCAACTTCAGCAAAGTTTCAGGATACAAAAATCAATGTACAAAAATCACAAGCATTCTTATACACCAACAACAGACAAACAGAGAAGCAAATCATGAGTGAACTCCCATTCACAATTGCTTCAAAGAGAATAAAATACCTAGGAATCCAACTTACAAGGGATGTGAAGGACCTCTTCAATGAGAACTACAAACCACTGCTCAAGGAAATAAAAGAGGATACAAACAAATGGAAGAACATTCCATGCTCATGGGTAGGAAGAATCAATATCGTGAAAATGGCCTTACTGCCCAAGGTAATTTATAGATTCAATGCCATCCCCATCAAGCTACCAATGACTTTCTTCACAGAATTGGAAAAAACTACCTTAAAGTTCATATGGAACCAAAAAAGAGCCCACTTTGCCAAGTCAATCCTAAGCCAAAAGAACAAAGCTGGAGGCATCACGCTACCTGACTTCAAACTATACTACAAGGCTACAGTAACCAAAACAGCATGGTACTGGTACCAAAACAGAGATATAGATCAGAACAGAGCCCTCGGAAATAACACCGCATATCTACAACTATCTGATCTTTGACAAACCTGAGAAAAACAAGCAATGGGGAAAGGATTCCCTATTTAATAAATGGTGCTGGGAAAACTGGCTAGCCATATGTAAAAAGCTGAAACTGGATCCCTTCCTTACACCTTATACAAAAATCAATTCAAGATGGATTAAAGACTTAAATGTTAGGCCTAAAACCATAAAAACCCTAGAAGAAAACCTAGGCAATACCATTCAGGACATAGGCATGGGCAAGGACTTCATGTCTAAAACACCAAAAGCAATGGCAACAAAAGACAAAATTGACAAATGGGGTCTAATTAAACTAAAGAGCTTCTGCACAGCAAAAGAAACTACCATCAGAGTGAATAGGCAACCTACAAAACGGGAGAAAATTTTTGCAACCTACTCATCTGACAAAGAGCTAATATCCAGAATCTACAATGAACTCAAACAAATTTACAAGAAAAAAACAAACAACCCCATCAAAAAGTGGGTGAAGGACATGAACAGACACTTCTCAAAAGAAGACATTTATGCAGCCAAAAAGCACATGAAAAAATGCTCATCATCACTGGCCATCAGAGAAATGGAAATCAAAACCACAATGAGATACCATCTCACACCAGTTAGAATGGCAATCATTAAAAAGTCAGGAAACAACAGGTGCTGGAGAGGATGTGGAGAAATAGGAACACTTTTACACTGTTGGTGGGACTGTAAACTAGTTCAACCATTGTGGAAGTCAGTGTGGTGATTCCTCAGGGATCTAGAACTAGAAATACCATTTGACCCAGCCATCCCATTACTGGGTATATACCGAAAGGACTATAAATCATGCTGCTATAAAGACACATGCACATGTATGTTTATTGCGGCATTATTCACAATAGCAAAGACTTGGAACCAACCCAAATGTCCAACAATGATAGACTGGATTAAGAAAATGTGGCACATATACACCATGGAATACTATGCAGCCATAAAAAATGATGAGTTCATGTCCTTTGTAGGGACATGGATGAAATTGGAAATCATCACTCTCAGTAAACTATCGCAAGAACAAAAAACCAAACACTGCATATTCTCACTCATAGGTGGGAATTGAACAATGAGATCACATGGACACAGGAAGGGGAACATCACACTCTGGGGACTGTTGTGGGGTGGGGGGAGGGGGGAAGGATAGCATTGGGAGATATACATAATGCTAGATGACGAGTTAGTGGGTGCAGTGCACCAACATGGCACATATATACATATGTAACTAACCTGCACAATGTGCACATGTACCCTAAAACTTAAAGTATAATAAAGAAAAAAAAGAAAAAAAAAAGAATCTTAAAAAAAAATTTTTTCTCCAGTGAAATTATTTAACTGTTTAAAATTAATTCCTTTAGACTAGATTTTGGAAAAAGGATTGTTGGGTTGAAGGTTTTGAACATTGTTTAGATGTTTGATGCATATTGTCAAATTGCCAATAAGGAAGGTTGTATTGTTTGACCTACTATACTATAGCATTCCAGAGTGTCTGTTTTGTGACCTGTGATCTAGTATTATTTACTTTTTCTTTTTTTAAATTTGCATTTTTTCATTTTTCACTAATCAAAAGAAAGCTAGAAATATTATTTATTTTTAAAGAAAATATTGCTAATTATATTATGCTATATTACTTTACTATTTATTTTAATTTACTTTAAATATTTATGATAAGTTTTAATCACAAAAGTAATACATGCTTATTTTAAAATTTTACATAAATACAGAAGTAAGTAAAAGAACTATTTTTCCAAACACCAGACTTCAGTGCAATCAAAAGGATAAACAATATTCAAAACTGTTCAATTTATGGCACACAGAGATAAGAAAACAAGAAGACATTTGGGGACATCTTTATGATGAAAAAAGTATTTTATTTTATATGCCATAATTATAAGATTAACAAAGTATTAGATAAGACATTAAATATTAAATTTGTATACTTCTAATAAAGTGTTTTCAGAAATTAGGAGAAGGAATTTGAGGTTGTTTCCGCAAGTAAAGTTTTCTAATATCAGTTTCTATGCTTGAAACTGCAACATGCAATTTCTGATCAAGACATCTTAGGGATGTTTCCTTTACAGTTTTGATAGTTGTCATGAATATAAAAATGGCCAGGCATGGTGGCTCATGCCTGTAATCCCAGCACTTTGGGAGGCTGGGCTGGAAGGGTCACTTAAGCCAAGGAGTATGAGACCAGCCTGGGCAACATAGGGAGACCCCGTTTCTACAAAAATAAAAATAAAAAACTAGCCAGGCATGGTGGCATGTGCCTGTGGTCCCAGCTACTTGTGAGGCTGAGGCAGGAGGATCACTTGAGCCTGGGAGGCCAAGGTAGTGGGTGAGCTGTGATCATGCCCCTGTACTCCAGCTTGGGTGACAGAGTGAGAGAGACCCTGTCTCTGAAACAAAACAAAACAAACCATTCTGACAAGGTAGTTGATAAAAATTGTTGACGAAAAGAGTCAAACTGTAAAATATTTGCAGAGATTTATTGTGAGCCAAATGTGATGACCATGACCTATAACACAGCCCCAGAAGGTCCTGAGAACATGTGCCCAAGGTAGTTGGTTTATGGCTTGATTTTATACATTAAAGTTACAGGCAAACATCAATCAATATGTATAAGGAGGTGTACAGTGTTTCTCTGCAGAAACATGGGATAACTTGAAGTGGGAGCTTTCAGGTCACAGGTAGATTCAAAGATTTTCTGATTAGCAATTGATTGGAAGAGTTATTATCTAAAGCCTGGAATCAATAGAAAGGAGTGTTTGGGTTAAGATAAGAAGTTGTGGACACCAAGATTTTTATTATGCAGATGGAGACCCCAGGTACCAGGCTTCAAAGCTCTTATCAGACCTAAAAAGGTTCCATACTTTTAATTAATTCTCTCCTGGATCAGGGAAAAGACATGGAAAGGGAAGACGATTCTCTACAGAATGTGGATTTTCCACACAAGAGACAGCTTTGCAGGGCCATGCCATTTAAGAACATGTCAAAGAAATATATTTTGGGGAAAATAATTTCAATTTCTTTCAGGACCTACTATCTGTCATGAATCACCATACTAGAATCAGGTTTGAATTTGGTATCTTACTGTTACAAAGGGTCTGTTTCTGTGTTAAGATCTCTGTTTTAATGGTAGTGCTGGTCAATTGCATCTGAATTCCAAAGGGAGGAAGTTATAATGACACATGTCTAACCTACCTCTTCCGGTCATGGTCTGAACTAGTTTTTCAGGTTTACTTTGGAATGCCAGTGGCCGAGAGGGGAGTCCATCAGTAGGTTGGGGGCCTTAGAATTTTATTTTTGGTTTATGAAACTTAAAAATCTAACAGTTTCTTTTTTTTTCATTGACAAGTGTAATGTTACAATTTATTGTGATAATGAGCATGGATTTCATAACTATTTCAATGTTTTTCATGTTGAATATTTCAAAATGATAATTGTTAAAAGAATCTAATTGGGAGGCCATTAGACCAAGGTGGCTTTGGCACTCTAAATTCCTATGTGAACCAACCAGAGTCCAGTGTAATCAGTAAATCGAAACTAGAAACAGCACCAATCAGAAACCACCAACTAATTTCTAACCCATCAAAATTATTTTCTTTGTCTTGCTTCTGCAAAAACTTTATAAAGTTTCTGTCAGGCCTCTGAGCCCAAGCCAAGCCATCGCATCCCCTGTGACTTGCACGTATATGCACAGATGGCCTGAAGTAACTGAAGAATCACAAAAGAAGTGAATATGCCCTGCCCCACCTTAACTGATGACATTCCACCACAAAAGAAGGGTAAATGGCCGGTCCTTGCCTTAAGTGATGACATTACCTTGTGAAAGTCCTTTTCCTGGCTCAAAAAGCACCCCCACTGAGCAACTTTCGACCCCCACTCCTGCCCACCAGAGAACAAACCCCCTTTGACTGTAATTTTCCTTTACCTACCCAAATCCTATAAAACAGCCCCACCCTTATCTCCCTTTGTTGACTCTCTTTTCGGACTCAGCCGCCTGCACCCAGGTGAAATAAACAGCCATGTTGCTCACACAAACCCTGTTTGGTGGTCTCTTCACACAGACGCACATGAAATTTGGTGCCGTGACTCGGATCGGGGGACCTCCCTTGGGAGATCAATCCCCAGTCCTCCTGTTCTTTGCTCCATGAGAAAGATCCACCTAGGACCTCAGGTCCTCAGACCGACCAGCCCAAGAAACATCTCACCAATTTCAAATCAGGTAAGCGGCCTCTTCTTACTCTCTTCTCCAACCTCTCTCACTGTCCCTCAACCACTTTCTCCTTTCCACTCTTCAATCTCTCCCTTCTCTTAATTTCAATTCCTTTCATTTTCTGGGAGAGACAAAGGAGACACATTTTATCCGGGGACCCAAAACTCCGGGGCCAGTCACGGACTGGGAAGGCAGCCTTCCCTTGGTGTTTAATGATTGCAGGGATGCCTCTCTGATTATACACTCACGTTTCAAGGGTGTCAGACCACGCAGGGATGCCTGCCTTGGTCCTTCACCCTTAGCGGCAAGTCCCGCTTTTCTGGGGCAGGGGCAAGTACCCCTCAACCCCTTCTCCTTCACCCTTAGTGGCAAGTCCCACTTTTCTATGGGGCAAGAACCCTCAATCCCTTATTTCCACACCCCAACCTCTTATCTCTGTGCCCCAATCCCTTATTTCCACACCCCAACCTCATATCTCTGTGCCCCAATCCCTTATTTCCGTGCCCCAACCTCATATCTCTGTGCCCCAATCCCTCATTTCTGCACCCCAATCCCTTATTTCCATGCTCCGACCTCTTATCTCTGTGCCCCAACCCCTTTTCCCACTTTTTTGGAAGGTAAGAACCCCCAAACCCCTTCCCTCCGTTTCTCTACTCTCTCTTTTCTCTAGGCTTGCTTCCTTCACTATGGGCAACCTTCCACCCTCCATTCCTCCTTCTACTCCCTTGGCCTGTGTTCTCAAAAACTTATAACCTCTTCAACTCACACCTGACCTAAAACCTAAATGCCTTATTTTCTTCTGCAATGCCGCCTGACCCCAATACAAACTCGACAGTAGTTCCAAATAGCCAGAAAATGGCACTTTGAATTTTTCCATCCTACAAGATCTAAATAATTCTTGTCATAAAATAGGCAAACGGTCTGAGGTGCCTGACATCCAGGCATTCTTTTACACAACAGGGCCTTCCTAGTCTCTGTGCCCAGTGCAACTCATCCCAAATCTTCCTTCTTTCCCTCCTGCCTGTCCCCTCAGTACCAACCCCAAGTGTCTCTGAGTCTTTCTAATCTTCCTTTTCTACAGACCCATCTGACCTCTCCCTTCCTCCCCAGGCTGCTCCTCGCCAGGCCGAGCTAGGTCCCTATTCTTCCTCAGCCTCTGCTCCTCCACCCTAGAATCTTTTTATCATTGCCCCTTCTCACACCTGGTCCGGCTTACAGTTTCGTTCCATGACTAGCCCTCCCCCTCCTGCCCAGCAATTTACTCTTAAAAAGGTGGCTAGAGCTAAAGGCACAGTCAAGGTTAATGCTCCTTTTTCTTTATCCCAAACCAGATAGCGTTTAGGCTCTTTTTCATCAAATATAAAAATCCAGCCCAGTTCATGACTTGTTTGGCAGCAACCCTGAGACACTTTACAGCCCTAGACCCTAAAAGGTCAAAAGGCCGTCTTATTCTCAAAACACATTTTATTACCCAATCTGCTCCCGACATTAAATAAAACTCCAAAAATTAAATTCCGGCCCTCAAACCCCACAACAGGATTTAATTAACCTCACCTTCAAGGTGTACAATAACAGAAAAAAGTTGCAACTCCTTGCCTCCACTGTGAGACAAACCCCAGCCACATCTCCAGCACACAAGAACTTCCAAACACCTGAACCGCAGTGGCCAGGCATTCCTCCAGAACCTCCTCCCACAGGAGCTTGCTACACGTGCCAGAAATCTGGCCACTGGGCCAGGGAATGCCCGCAGCCTGAGATTCCTCCTAAGCTGCGTCCCATCTGTGTGGGACCCCACTGAAAATGGACTGTTCAACTCACCTGGCAGCCACTCCCAGAGCCCTGGAACTCTCGCCCAAGGCTCTCTGACTGACTCCTTCCCAGATCTTCTCGGCTTAGCGGCTGAAGACTGACACTGCCTGATCACCTCAGAAGCCCCCAGACCATCACGGACGCTGAGCTTCAGGTAACTCTCACAGTGGAAGATAAGCCCATCCCCTTCTTAATCAGTACGGAGGCTACCCACTCCACATTACCTTCTTTTCAAGGGCCTGTTTCCCTTGCCTCCATAACTGTTGTGAGTGTTGACGGCCAGGCTTCTAAACCTCTTAAAACTCCCCAACTCTGGTGCCAGCTTAGACAATACTCTTTTAAGCACTCCTTTTTAGTTATCCCCACCTGCCCAGTTCCCTTATTAGGCTGAGACACTTTAACTAAATTATCTGCTTCCCTGACTATTCCTGGACTACAGCTATATCTCATTGCCACCCTTCTTCCCAATCCAAAGCCTCTTTGCGTCCTCCTCTTGTATCCCCCTACCTTAACCCACAAGTATAAGATACCTCTACTCCCTCCTTGGTGACCGATCATGCACCCCTTACCATCTCATTGAAACCTAATCACCCTTACCCCACTCAACACCAATATCCCATCCCACAGCATGCTTTAAAAAGATTGAAGCCTGTTATCACTCGCCTGCTACAGCATGGCCTTTTAAAGCCTATAAACTCTCCTTACAATTCCCCCATTTTACCTGTCCTAAAACCAGACACGCCTTAGAAGTTAGTTCAGGATCTGCGCCTTATCAACCAAATTGTTTTGCCTATCCACCCTGTGGTGCCAAACCCATATACTCTCCTATCCTCAATACCTGCCTCTACAACCCATTATTCTGTTCTGGATCTCAAACATGCTTTCTTTACTATTCCTTTTCACCCTTCATCCCAGCCTCTCTTCGCTTTCACTTGGACTGACCCCGACACTCATCAAGCTCAGCAAATTACCTAGGCTGTACTGCAGCAAAGCTTCACAGACAGCCCCCATTGCTTCAATCAAGCCCAAATTTCTTCCTCATCTGTTACCTATCTCGGCATAATTCTCATAAAAACACACGTGCTGTCCCTGCCAATCGTGTCCGACTGATCTCTCAAATCCAAGCTCCTTCTACAAAACAACAACTTCTTTCCTTCGTAGGCATGGTTAGTGCGGTCAGAATTCTTACACAAGAGCCAGGACCATACCCTGTAGCCTTTCTGTCCAACTTGACCTTACTGTTTTAGCCTAGCCCTCATGTCTGCGTGCAGCGGCTGCCGCTGCTTTAATACTTTTAGAGGCCCTCAAAATCACAAACTATGCTCAACTCACTCTCTACAGTTCTCATAACTTCAAAAATCTATTTTCTTCCTCATACCTGATGCATATACTTTCTGCTTCCCGGCTCCTTCAGCTGTACTCACTCTTTGTTGAGTCTCCCACAATTACCGTTGTTCCTGGCCCAGACTTCAATCCAGCCTCCCACATTATTCCTGATACCACACCTGACCCCCATGACTGTATCTCTCTGATCCACCTGACATTCACCCCATTTCCCCAGATTTCCTTCTTTCCTGTTCCTCACCCTGATCACGCTTGATTTATTGATGATGGTTCCACCGAGCCTAATCGCTGCACACCAGCAAAGGCAGGTTATGCTATAGTACAAGCCACTAGCCTGCCGCTTAGAACCTCTCATTTCCTTTCCATCATGGAAATCTATCCTCAAGGAAATAACTTCTCAGTGTTCCATCTGCTATTCTGCTACTCCTCAGGGATTATTCAGGCCCCCTCCCTTCCCTACACATCAAGTTCAAGGATTTGCCCCCACCCAGGACTGGCAAATTAGCTTTACTCAACATGCCCGAGTCTGGAAACTAAAATACCTCTTAGTCTAAATAGACACTTTCACTGAATAAGTAAAGGCCTTTCCTACAGGGTCTGAGAAGGCCACCGCAGTCATTTCTTCCCTTCTGTCAGACATAATTCCTCAGTTTAGCCTTCCCACCTCAATACAGTCTGATAACAGATGAGCCTTTATTAGTCAAATCAGCCAAGCAGTTTTTCAGGCTCTTAGTATTCAGTGAAACCTTTATATCCCTTACAGTCCTCCATCTTCAAGAAAAGTAGAATGGACTAAAGGTCTTTTAAAAACACACCTCACCAAGCTCAGCCACCAACTTAAAAAGGACTGAACAATACTTTTACCACTTTTCCTTCTCAGAATTCAGGCCTGTCCTCGGAATGCTACAGGGTACAGCCCATTTAAGCTCCTGTATAGACTCTCCTTTTTGTTAGGCCCCAGTCTCATTCCAGACACCAGACCAACTTAGACTGTGCCCCCAAAAAAACTTGTCATCCCTACTATCTTCTGTCTAGTCATACTCCTATTCACCATTCTCAACTACTCATACATGTCCTGCTCTTGTTTACACTGCCGGTTTACACTGTTTTTCCAAGCCATCACAGCTGATATCTCCTGGTGCTATCCCCAAACTGCCACTCTTAACTCTTGAAGTAAATAAATAATCTTTGCTGGCAGGACTATGCTGAATCTCCTTAGGCACTCTCTAGTCAGCTATCCTGAGTCGTCCCAATTCTTAGACCTTTTATACCTGTTTTTCTCCTTCTGTTATTCCATTTAGTTTTTCAATTCATACAAAACTGTATCCAGGCCATCACCAATCATTCTATACGACAAATGTTTCTTCTAACATCCCCGCAATATCACCCCTTACCACAAGACCTCCCTTCAGCTTAATCTCTCCCACTCTAGGTTCCCACGCCGCCCCAATCCCGCTTGAAGCAGCCCTGAGAAACATCGCCCACTCTCTCTCCATACCACCCCCCAAAAAATTTTCACCGCCCCAGCACTTCAACACTATTTTATTTTTCTTATTAATATAAGAAGGCAGGAATGTCAAGCCTCTGAGCCCAAGCCAAGCCATCGCATCCCCTGTGACTTGCACGTATATGCCCAGATGGCCTGAAGTAACTGAAGAATCACAAAAGAAGTGAATATGCCCTGCCCCACCTTAACTGATGACATCCCACCACAAAAGAAGGGTAAATGGCCAGTCCTTGCCTTAAGTGATGACATTACTTTGTGAAAGTCCTTTTCCTGGCTCATCCTGGCTCAAAAAGCACCCCCACTGAGCACCTTTCGACCCCCACTCCTGCCCGCCAGAGAACAAACCCCCTTTGACTGTAATTTTCCTTTACCTACCCAAATCCTATAAAACGGCCCCACCCTTATCTCCCTTTGTTGACTCTCTTTTCGGACTCAGCCCGCCTGCACCCAGGTGAAATAAACAGCCATGTTGCTCACACAAACCCTGTTTGGTGGTCTCTTCACACGGACGCGCATGAAAGTTTCCCCTCTTGCCTTTCTTGATGGAGTGATAGCCCCTTGTGGTCTGGTGCTGCCCCAATTCTTGAATCTCTGAATGCTCCGATAAACTCTCTAAAATTGAAATGTACTTAAGTTTTTCTTTCATCATAAGGAAGTGCTATTCTGCAGCACGCACATGCAAAGCAAGAACAGTTGCTACCAGGTAGTTAAGACGGAAATGAGCATAAGACTATGTAAAGGCAGAGATTTGGGGCCACCTTCTAGAGCTGTGCCCACAAGAGGCCCCTAACTGATAACTGCCCACTCTGATTCTCTGAATGAGCTACATTATTGCGTGTATGCTGCACTCCTCTGGGCACCTGGAACCTCTTAGCCACCAAGGCAGCAGCACATTGTTTAAAGCATCTCCTAGCCTTCACTCAGTGGCTTCCGGCAGAGTGGTGATGCCAGACATCACTTACAGTGCTCACTGTCTGTGGGGAACAGAGGGTCCCATCAGACACACGTCTGTTTCAGCCAGTTTCTGAGAAGCCCACAGAGAGGACAGTGACAATGTTCTGGGACTCTGGTTGCTTCAGGTGTTGCCTGGGCTCTCAGAAGTCTAAGAAGATCATTATTTCCTGGTAAACTTTTAATGCATTTGAAATATACCAGTTCATCCTAGCACGTTAACTGAGGAGATGTGTGCTTCTCAAATTTTAGGGTGCAAAAGCATCACCTGGAGAGCTGATTAAAACAGATTCATGGACACCTCCCCAGAGATTTGGATTCAGTTGGTCTGGGGTGGGGCCCAAAAACTTGCATTTCTAACAAGCTCTTAGTCCTTGCTGATCCAGAATTACACTTGCAGTAGCCCTGTCCTACAGGATAGTTTAAATATTTGAGACTTATTAAAGGAGTTATTTAATAATAAATGTAAAGTACTTAGAGCTATGCCTGGCATATGATAATCACTTAACAGATGTTGAGTTTCAACATTTGCTATTTTGTGGTTTGTCTGGGTTGGAGAGCAGAACCTTTATGTAATTCCTTTAATTGGTAAGGCTTTAAGCAAGCATTTTCTTGTTTTCCCCAGCTATCATTCCCAGGTTTGTGAAAATAATCAGATATTTTAGTATAATACTGTTGTTATTTTTTCTATTATACCTCTTTTCATAGCCTTTCATTTATTATTACATTATATGTTGTTATACATGACAAATTATTTTAAAATTGAACTATAAGATTTTCTGATTTAAAAATGGCTTATCACTTTTGTATCCTACATGTTCCCTTTTCTTCAGCTGTTTTTTTCAGAAGAACTTTTATTTGGTTTCAGTTTCTCCAACAGTTATTTTTTTCAAATGTTGTATAATTGTTATACATTCTGCATCCTTGCATGTCTAAAACAGTTTTCCATTTGCCTTTGTTAAATAAAATTTACAGGAGGCTATTGATTTAGACTGAGCTCCTGCATTGTGCCCTAATAGATCAAACCAAAATGGAGTTGTCAGAGGCATTTAAACCAGAGTGACTCCATCTTGTATAGAGGTTGGGTAAAATAAGGATGGAACTTACTGAGCTGCATTCCCAGGAGGTTAAGGCATTCTTAGTCACAGCATGAGATAAGAGGTTGGCAGGAGATACAGGTCATAAAGACCTGGCAGATAAAATAGGTTACAGTAAAGAAGCTGGTCAAAACTCACCAAAACCAAGATGGCAAGGAGTGTGACTTCTGGGCATCCTCACAGCTCATTATATGCTAATTATAATTCATTAGCATGCTGAAAGACACTCCCACTAGTGCCATGAAAGTTTACAAACGTCATGGCAATGTCAGGAAATTACACTATTTGGTCTAAAAAGGGGATGAACCCGTAGTTCCAGGAATTGTCCACTCCTTTCCCAGAAAACTCATGAATAATCCATCCCTTGCTTAGCATATAATCAAGAAATAACCATAAAAATGGGCAACCAGTAGCCCTCTCTGAAGGTTTGCTGAAAATCAACTCACAAGGCAGATCAATAGGAGAAAAGGCATGCAAAAGTTATTTTAACGTGTATAGCCTGGGGGAACTGCAGGAGAATGATTACCCAATAACCCAATGGGACACAGAAACTTATATACCCTTTTCATAGGAGGGGAGGGAGATGGGGAATGTAGACAATTCTTTTGAGGGGTAGCAAATGATTATTAGGGGAAGCAAATGGACAGAACTTAACTTGTAAATGATTCTTTTTGGAATTTGAATGAACCTGAGAGATTGTTATTTTCTTATGAAAAAGTCCTTCCAGGTGAGGTTGCATTCCTGTCTCCTTTTTTTGTGATCTGTAATGAGATTTCAGGAAGGAGAAGAAAGGCAATTGCATTGTTTTTGGAAAGAAGCTTTCCGGGACAGATAAGAAAATCCCAGAGACAGCCCCTTCCTGCAATGCAGGTGTGTGTCTGGGGGTAAGACAAGGTTGGAGGGACCTTGATTCTGAGGCAGCTTCTAGGCCACTCAGCATATCAAAGTGCCAGTCTTTGGGGCAACACTTCCTGACCCCCAATACTTGATTCATGAATTGTTCTTTGCTAAAATAAATTCTATTAAATTTATTTTGCCTAAAGCTTTTATTTTAAAATAATTTTTCTATATGCCACAGGTTTGGTTGGCTATACAATTCCTGGGTTTCAATAGTTATGCTTTAAGAAACTCTAAACAGGCTGGGATCGGTGGCTCACTCCTGTAATCCCAGCACTTTGGGAGGCCGAGGTGGGTGGATCACCCGAGTTCAGGAGTTCTAGACCAGCCTGGCCAACATGGTGAAACACCGTCTCTACTAAAAATAAAAAAATTAGCTGGGTGTGGTGGCAGGCACCTGTAATCCCAGCTACTCAGGGGGCCAAGGCAGGAGAATCACTTGAACCCAGGACACAGAGGTTGCAGTGAGCTGAGATCGCACCATTGCACTACAGCCTAGGGGACAAGAGGGAGACTTTGTCAAAAAAAAAAAAGAAGAAGAAGAAAGAAACTCTAAACATTATTTCACTGTTTTCTAGTTCCAGTGTAGCAAAAATGAGATTTGCTTTTATTTCTGCTCTTTTTTATTTTGGGGTATAGCTTCCACCCCACTTCTGCTTTTTAATCTAAACTCCTATGAGTATTGGAGCTATCAGATCAATTCTCCATGTTTCCTATCTTTTTCATGATAATTTTTACTTCTCATTAATTTTACGTGAATTTCAATCAAATTCATTCTGTGAATTTCTAACTCATCATTTGGTATTCAGTGTTATCTATTTTGTTACTCCATTTCTCCACAGAGTTATTTTTAAAACCATTTTAAGATTTCCCCTATATTGTTTTAAAATTGATCTCTTTTTTTTTGAGAATATGCTCTTTTAAAAATCATTGAGTCTCTCTACAATGATAATGCATATTTTCAAGTTTTCTTCTCTTTCTTGCATTTAATCTGTTTCAGTCTAGGAATATTTGCTCCGGTCCCTTGCATTGATATGTCAACGGAAAGAAGAAAAAAAATCGAGGCAAACAATGTAAGTAGAGAGTTCATTTGGACTAAGCTTGAACACTGCAACGCAAGAGCGTAGATGCAAGTTAACCTGAATATACACCCCTATGAGCAGCAGTTACAAGTGGGTTTTAAAGGAAACAAAGAGGCAGTTCCCAAGTTGTTTACCAAGAATTTACATTAAAATAACATAAGCTATTGATTGGTTATACACTGTTCTTTGTATCACAAACTCCAGGAACATGAAGATAATGGGCAAAGCAGCTAGTCAGGAACAAAATGTCTTTAAACAGTTGGCCCTGGGTATGGGTGTGAGAGGTGTGATTGAGGTCCCATAACCATACTCATGTCTCTCTGGGCCTGACAAATTTTGTATGCTTCACATAACTTAGATGGCTCTGAGCAATTTTTTTTCTCATTTCCCACCTGTTGATCAAAAATCTTTCCATGGAAACATTAATGATCAATTTCTGCTTAGGTTAGAGTGATCAATATCCTTCCTCCTTCAGTTTGAGAAGGCTCATGATGGTGCTGTCTCACATGGGAAGGAGAGGTGAGGAAATGTTACAATGAGGAATTTTAAGACTGTCAAAAGCCAAATTGAGATGGCATCACAGGTGGCAAAAATGGCACCTCAGTCAAGTATGTAGTTGCTGTTGCTTGTTGAATCATTGTTAGTCTTCAGAATATCATGAGTTTAGTCTTTGTGGAAGAAGTAAAACAAGAGATATATGTAATGCATATAGGAATTATAATCAAAAAAAGAATTTGTATATCAGAACAACAACAACAAAACCTATTCTACTGGGGAGTCAACTAAAAATATCATGAAGGAAATTAAATCCAATTTCTTCTTTGGAGGATTGTTAGAGCTGGGACATTATTCAGAATTCAGTCCAAATTGTAGACAAATAGTAAAAACTAAAAAACAACTAAAAAACAATGGTCAGGGCTAGAATCTTATAAGAAGGATGGTATAGTTTCCTTCTAAAACAATTTTTTTCTCTCCCCAGTTCCCCATTCCTACCAAATATAAATGTTAGTAGGACAAATTTATTGGCTAAATAAGTTTTAGTATTATACTTGGCCTGATTATTTGCAAAATGTGCAACAAGAAGAATGATTGGCCATATAGGCTCTTTTCCATTGACTTTGCAGAATTTTTAATAAGAAATCTCAGATTACACTTTTAAAACCTCTAAAGACTAGTAAGCCAAGCCAGGGATTCACTGTGGGACTGCTTGTAACATATGTAAAAATTGAGTGAATTCCTATCTTCTCAATGACCCAAAATATCTTGTGGTTCCTGGGTGCATCAGAAAATGACAGTCTTTACTTACCGCAAGCTGAGGAACCTTGTAAGAGAACCGTGTGGGCAAGGCATGAGGCCAGTCTTTCCCATGTCTATTGGCTTTATAAAGTCAGCCTCAATTCCTCAAAGCAGTTTGGTCACATTCAAAAATGTAACATTCCAGCCAAAGCCTTGGTAAAATAACCGGTGTATCCAATGTGTTCTGTTACAAAAGAAAACAGATTCTTATTGATCTTATGCAAATAACTATATTGCCACAAAATACAAATACTCATGAATAGTTTCCAAATTTTAGAGAAATCAGGTAGGGAGAAATGCAGATGTTTTAATTTTGCTCACAAAAGGTTACCCAGTTGCTGTAAGCTATAATTAGCTAAAAAGAGACATTTTCTTGACTCTGGAAAACAAAACATAAAATAATCAGCAATGTTTCAAAGAGAAAAGTTAAAGAAAGCATTTCCACCCTCTGTCAGGCTAGCCCCATGTATTTAATTATTATTCAGCTGGATGTTAGGTTAGTAATATTCATGAATGCATTCATTTTTTAAATTAGAGTTCTGAAAGTTTTCACTCAGTCCAATGATATGATGGGTGGAATCTAGCCACTGGGAGTATTTCCTTTCTGTGTGTGCTGCCAGTAGATGGAAGTGCAACAAAAGCCTGGCTGCCTCCCCGCACCCCCAGCAGAGCTGCCTACCTGCACCCCCAGGAGAGCTGCCTCCCTGCACTCCCGGCAGAGCTGCCCGGGCTTCTGAGTGTAAAAATAAAATAGAGGTTCCTCTTCAAAGAGACTTTCCTCCCCGTCTAATTAGGAATAAATAGTAACTTCTCTCAGAAACAAAATTTATTCAAAGACCTGTGCTAACATTCTTAGATATCTGCTAGCTATAATAAAGAAATCAATGTACTTTGTGTTCTTAGCTCCCACAATTTAGCCTAAATATTTGCCCTGGCATGCTTACACTGGTCCAAGCAAGTATTAAGTCATAGTCTGTTCCTCTTCCTTATTTGGAGGTGTTTTTACCTTTCTCAGCATTCCACAAGTTACTTCCTCCTTTGTTCTCCTCTGCCTTTGCCTCTTTTAAAAAGTTCTAAGTTGCTGGCTAATCAGGACAAATACAGAATGTGAGGTGCAGGGAGCTGAAGGCCCCTGGGAAGTGACCAACTCAGCATTTCGCTGGAGGCTATAGGATCAAACAGCAAACTGTTTATCATGAATGCAGGATGTGGGCAAACTCACACTGCCCTGCCACCAAAAGGTTTGTTGAGGGCCTCACTCCCTGGCGCTGGGCTCCTTGAAGTTATCTATTGAGAAGTCTAGCACCTAAGAATGCAGTCTTGCAAGCCTGCTGCGAATCAAGCTGCTGGCCAACAACCACTCCCCACCTTCTCACTATCTCTATTGCCTAATAAATATGGAGGGCAGTGTAAAGCTCAGGGCCCTTGTCCACTAGAGACAAGGTGCCCTCCGACCCCTTCTTCCAAATATACTCTTTTGCCTCTTGTCTTTTATTCCCGTGTTTGCCCCCTTTGTTCAGTCCCCCTAGGTCCATGCAGGTTACATAGTGGTGCCCCAAACAGTGACACAATTGGGTTCTCAACAAGTGGTGACTCAGAACAGGGACGCCAAGGATGCCAACAAGTGGCGTCTGAACACGGGACTTCGACGATGTGAACAAAAAAGATCTGCTGGAGCAGAGAAGCTGAAATTGACAAGGCAAACGGGGACCCCAGGATGAGTCTGCCGGCAGCATATATAAGGTCAGTGCTCTAAAGAGGTACTGGGAGCAGTGCTTTATAGAAGTGCTGGGAATGGGAAGCTTTCTGAATCAGGGTAGCAGGGGGAATAACTTGTCTGTTGAAGAAAAACATTATGTGCAGTTGCTTAAAGTTCTGTTGAGACAGTCTGGAGCTCAGGTTAATTCTCAGACACTAACCTCCTGCAGAAGCCACACAAAGTTATTATGCATAACTCATGGTTTCCACAGGCAGGCACTCTTGATGTGGAAAACTGGGATAGAGCAGGAGAAGGATTAAAACAGGCTCATCAAAAAGGTCTTGAAGTTGATTCTTCTGTTTTCTCCACTTGGAGTTTAGTTTGTACTGTACTTCTGCTATTATCTCATTATTCTGCGGGACAGCAGGCTGAATCTAAAAATCTAAAAGAATCTGTTGTCCCACCCACAGCTCCAACTGAAAATAAAAAACAGGAGAGGGAGGATAAAAGTTGGCCTATACTGCCTCCTCCAGTTGCAGAAACATTTGTACCGCCTCCTTTGGTGGCAGAAATAGAGACTCCAATACAAAGAATTTTATGCTCTGCTGCAATAGCTGGAGAGCCCTTAGGACCTCACGCTTTTCCTATTTCCATAAGGCCTAATCCTAACAATGCACAGCAGGTTATTCATGAACACACTCCACTAGATTTTAACTTGTTAAAGGAATTAAAAGCGAGTGTGGTAAACAATGGCGTACAGAACCCATTCACCTTAGGATTGCTAGAATCTGTGTTTGGTGCTATGCGTCTTTTACCATTTGATGTGAAACACTTGGCGTGAATTTGCTTGTCGGCTACTGCATATCTGACATGGAATTTAAATTGGCAAGAAATGTGTGCAGACCAGGCTAGACAGAACTGTGCTGCTGGAAATGGAGACATTACAGAGGATATGCTATTAGGTAATGGCCCTTATTCAGACCTGGAACCTCAAATGGGACTCCCAGATGTTGCTTATCAGCAGTGTGCACAGGCCACTAAATGCACCTGGGCCACTATTCCTGAAGGAGTCCCAGTACAATCCTTTTTATGTATCATACAAGGGTTGCAGGAACCCTATGTGCAATTTCTTGCATGATTACAAGAGGCAGTGAAGTGTCAGATTTCTCATACTGCGGCTGCAGAAATGCTAACCTTAACACTAGCTTTTGAGGATGCAAACACGGATTGTAAATGTGCACTGGCACTGGTGAGGTGTACAAAAAACTTGGGAAATTTTCTCAGAGCTTGTCAAGATGTAGGAACTGAGCTTCATCACTCTGCAATGTTAGCACAAGCAATAGCTAATTTATCAGTTGACAAATCTAAAAGGAGCCAAGGGTCAAACCCCAAAACGGGAAAATATTATAAATGTGGAAAAACTGGACATTTTAAAAAGGAATGCTGCCAGATCTCAGGACAGAAAGGACCTTACAATGCAGTGCCCCACCCAGCAGAATAAACACCAGGATTCTGTCCTCACTGTATGAAAGGAAATCACTGGGCTAATCAGTGCCACTCAAAATTTCATCAGAATGGCACCCCCCTGCTGGGAAACGAGATGGGGGCCTGGACCCAGGCCCCACAAACAATAAGGGCATTCCCAGTCCAGACCTCAACCCCATTTCAGAGGTCAGTTCCCAGAGGCACATTGATCCCCTCACCCCAGGAACACCAGGAAGTGCAGGATTAGATCTACCCGCCAGAGAAAGAATCACTTTAGTTGGTGGAGACAAACCTATGAAAGTTCCCACTGGCATTTGGGGACCTTTACCAGCAGGATATATGAGACTAATTTTAGCCAAAAGCTGCCTTAACTTGCAAGGCATTACTGTAGTGACTGGCTCTGATTATGAAGGAGAAATTCAAGTAGTTTTAATGTCACAAGATCTTTGGGTTTTTGAACCAGGAGAATATATTGCTCAATTATTGCTTATTCCCTGCAAATTACACCCTTCTCCATGAAAGGAGAAATGAGGAAATAAAGGGTTTGGGAGCACAACTACTTGGGAAATCTATCTATCCCAACCCATAGCCTCTAATAGAGCCACCTGTGTAGTACAAATTAAAGGACAGACATTTTATGGGCTTATGGATATGGGAGCTGATGTTTCAGTAATATGTAAAGACAATTGGCCCCCCATCCTGGCCCTTGCAATTAACTTCTATGTCCCTAATGGGAGTAGGAACAGCTCAAAGTGTTCAACAGTATGCTGAAATTTTATCTTGTCTTGGTGTGGATGGACAGTCATGTACTTTTCAGCCTCATGTTGCAAGTATAGCCATCAAATTATGGGGTTGAGACTTACAGCATGGGATATGAGACTTACAAATGAAACTTTTGATAACCCAGAACTTAAAATGTTAAAGAACATGGGATATCAGCAGGGAAAACCTTTAGGAAAATTTCTTCAGGGAAATCCTAACCCAATAGCAGTAACTGGAAAAACAGATAGCTAAGGGCTAGGACGTCAGGATTTCTGATGGAGGTCATTGATATTTCTCCTCTGCCCACTGCCTTACCATTAGAATGGCTCAGTGACAAACCCATGTGGGTGGATCAATGGCCCCTATCTCAGGAGAAGCCGACACAACTTCAACAGCCAGTAAAAGATCAGTGGGATGCTGGACACATAGAGGAGTCAGTTAGCTCCTGGAATTCTCCAGTGTTTGTTATTCTAAAAAAGTCCAGAAGATGGTGACTGCTACAAGATTTAAGAGCTATTAATACACATATAAAATGGATGGATGCCTTACAAAAAGGTATACCATCTTCAGTGGCTATTCCAAGAGTCTGGCCTCTTGTATTAATAGATCTTAAGGATTGTTTCTTTACTATATTCTTACATGAGAAGGATAAGCCTTGATTCGCCTTCTCTGTGCCTTCTATTAACCAAAGAGAACCTGTTTCTTGTTATCAATGGAGAGTTTTACCCCCAAGTCATGCTATGTCAACATTTTGTAGGACAGGCATTAAAGGAGTCTCGGAATATGTTTCCTACTGCTTACATCATTCATTTTATGGATGATATTCTTTTGGCCCCTCCTATAGATCAAATCCTACAGCAGTTATTCAGAGAAACGAAGCAAGCTTTGACTAAATGGAATCTCAAAATAGCTCTGAAAAAGGTACAAACAACTTCCCCATACCAATACTTAGGAATTATTGTTATGGAGAGAAGTGTACGGCCTCAGAAAGTAGTTCTCTGTAAAGACAGGTTACAGACTTTAAATGATTTTCTACAATTATTAGGAGATATTAATTGGCTACAGCCAATGTTAGGTATTGCTACCTATCAACTTACACATCTTTACCAAACCCTGCAAGGAGATTCTACTTTAAATTCCCCATGGCAACTAACTAAAGAGGCAGAAGCCGAATTACGGCTTGTAGAGAAAATGTTACAGCAGAGACATGCCTCACAGCTACAACTGCAAAAACCTTTGCTTTTGTTTATTCCTCCTACCCCCCACTCTCCAACAGGACTATTGGGCCAGTTCATAGACAAGTCTGCAACAGTAATAGAATGGCTCTTTCTACCTAATCAAACAGTCAAAACCTTGCAAGTTTATCTTTCTTTAATTACACAAATTGTGACTATGGGCAGGCATAGGTCAAAAATGCTTATGGGATATGACCCTGACAAAATTATTGTTCCTTTAGACTCCCAGCAACAAGCCACAGCTTGGGAAATGTCAACTGCCTGGCAAATTGCTTTTGCAGATTTCATGGGTGCTATAGATAATCACTACCCCTCAGACAAAATTTTACAGTTTTATAAAATCCATTCTTTCATTCTTTCTGTGATTACTCATCACAAGCCTATTGCAGGTGGACAGACTTACTTTACTGATGGCTCTTCCAGAGGTCATGCTGCTATCTATGGACGTAAACATACTCAAATAATAATGACATCTGGGGCTTCAGCTCAAGGCTCAGAGCTAATTGCAGTCATTCAGGTTTTACAGCTCGCAGCTTCAGATCCTATCAACATTGTCTGTGATTCAGCTTATGTTGTAAATGTAACCAGTCACATAGAAACTGCTACAATTAAAAGTACACTAGACCCAGAACTGTTTAATTTATTTTTAAGACATCATGTTCACACATATAAGTGGGAGCCAAACATTGAGTACACATGGACACAAAGGAACAGCAGACACTGGGGCGTGCTTGAGGATAGAGGGAGGGAAGAGGATGAGGATCCAAAAATTACCTATCAGTTTCTATGCTTATTATGTGGGTGGCAAAATAATCTGTACACCAAACTTCTGTGACATGCAATTTATTTATATAACAAACCTACATATGTTCACCGAACCTAAAAGTTAAAAAAATAAAAATTTCTACCAACATCTAATGTGAAAAACAAAACAAAACAAAACAAAAAAAGACTTCAGCGAGTTACTCGTTCTCATGCAGATCCTTTTCATATTTCTGATATTTGTTCTCATACACAACTTCCAGGACCATTATCCCTAGGGAATGATAAAGTAGATATAAATTGATTTGTTCTGTGTTTCAGCAAGCTCAAGCATCTCATGCGCTTCTGCATCAAAATACTTCCACCCTTACTTGCGTGTTCCATTTATCTTGCAGCCAAGCTAGGGCTATAATACAAGCCTGTCCTACTTGTCAGCATGTCCCTGGAGCCACACCTGTAGAAGGCTGTAACTCATGAGGTTTGGCTCCAAATGAAGTTTGGCAAATGGATGTTACACAATAGTTACCTTTGGTAAGCTTAGCTATGTTCATGTGACTATAGATGCTGCATGCTACATGCCAAGCAGGTGAGACAGCTGGTCATGTATGGCGACATTGTCATCATTTGCTCATATGGGGATACTTAAACAATTAAAAACTGATAATGGAACCGCTTATACTAGTCATGCTTTTCAAAATTTCTTACAGCTTTGGGCTATAACCCATAAAACAGGAATTCCTTATGATGCTAGAGGACAAGTCATTATAGAATGGGCCCATCAAACATTACAATGCATGTTGAAAAAACAAAAAGGGGGTATAGGAGGCCAACTACCACCTCAATCGAAACTACCTTTAGCCTTAGTTACTTTAAGTTTTTTTTTTTTTTTAGATGGGGTCTTGCTCTGTCATCCAGGCTGGAGTGCAGTGGCACGATCTCTGCTCACTGCAAGCTCTGCCCCCTGGGTCCATGCCATTCTCCTGTCTCAGCCACCTGAGTAGCTGGGACTACAGGTGCCCGCCACCACGCCTGACTAATATTTTTGTATTTTTAGTAGAGATGGGGTTTCACCGTGTTTGCCAGGATGGTCTTGATCTCCTGACCTTGTGATCTGCCCGCCTTGGCCTCCCAAAGTGCTGGGATTACAGGCGTGAGCCACCGCGCCCGGCCTCTACTTTAAATTTTTTGACTCCTAGTATGGATGGTAAGACTCCAGTAGAAAGACATTGGCAAATGTTAAAGGAAAAGAGGAAAGTTTATCCAAAAGTGTTATGGAAATCCCCGGAAGAAGGACAATGTAAAGGTTCGGTGGATTTACTGACGTGGGGAAGAGGATATACTTGTGTTTTTACAGATGGACAAACCCTGTGGGTGCCCTCAAGACATGTGTGACCATGGAATGGGAGACTGGAGGAACCCAGGGTGGCCAACCATGAGCCCGGTCCTTCTGGTACGAACCATGAGACAGCTGAGCCTGAGTGTAAAGACAGACAGAATGCCGGCCAGAGTCACAACACTGTTCTAATGCTATGTTTTCTGTAAAATTGGATGGACCACCAATCAGAGAATGAGAGCTACCCAGTCTGGCCTTACATTCTTTCAATTAATACATAAACAAAAAGTGGGATATGCAGGGAGCCGAAAGCCTGTGGGACATGACCAACTTAGTATTCTGCTGGAGGCTATATGATCAAACGGCAAACTGTTTATCATGAATGCAGGATGTGGCCAAACTCACACTGCCCTGCTACCAAAACGTTTGCTGAGGGCCTCACTCCATGGTGCCAGGCTCCTTGAAGTTATCTATTGAGAGATCTAGCTCCTATTGTTCTAAGAATGCAGTCTTGCCAGCCTGCTGTGAATAAAATGCCAGCCAACAACCACTCCCCTCCTTCTTGCTATCTCTATTGCCTAATAAATACGGAGGGCTGTGTAAAGCTCAGGGCCCTTGTCCACTAGAGGCAAGGTGCCCTCTGACCCCTTCTTCCAAATATACTCTTTCATCTCTTGTGTTTTATTCCCACATTTGCCCCCTTTGTTCAGTCCCCCTAGGTCCATGTGGGTTACAGTGAGGTCCCATTCCAGCCAATGGAAACCAGACACAGCAGTAGGGTGGATGCGTCAGGTTATAAATAACCCTGTCTCCTTTGTTCGGTGTACTCTTGTGGCAAAACTGCTGGTGAATGTACCCTTTCTGTAGAGAATAAAAATGGCCTTGCTGAGAAAATTAAATGTATGTTCAAGTGCTATTTCTTTGTGGCACCAGGGAACAAGCATTTCAAACATGAGTGACAGTCAAGTCTCACTTTTAGTCATGTTCTGCATTATGGGCTGAACTGTGTCCCCTGACATTCATATGTTGAAGTCCTGACTTTCAGAATGTGACTATATTTAGAGCTAGCACCTTTAAAGTGGTAATTAAGATAAAATAAGGTCACTAGGGCTGGCCTTAATCCAAAAAATCTGGTATCCTCATAAGAAGAGGAGATTAGAATGCAGACATTACACAGACTGAAGGACGGCCACGTAAGGACACAGTGAGAAGATGGCCATCTGCTAGCCGAGAAAAGTAGCTCATAGCAGTTTGAAGAATGGGATGTATGCAAAGTTTATCAGGCCCAGACAGACATGAGTGAGTCTTCAGTCATGCCCCTCACACCCATGTCAGGAATTAATCATTTAAAGGCAAGGTTATCATCAATAGCAATAAATGTCTTTGCCACACTGCTATTAATTGCAGATGAGGAAATGGGGTCACTCAAGTAAATTCTTCAGGGCCACATTTTTTTTTTTTTTTTTTTTTTTGAGATGGAGTCTCGCTCTGTTGCCCAGGCTGGAGTGCAGTGGTGCAATCTTGGCTCACTGCAAGCTCTGCCTCCTGGGTTCATGCCATTCTCCTGCCTCAGCCTCCCCAGTACCTGGGACTACAGGTGCCCACCACCATGCCCAGCTAATTTTTTTGTATTTTCAGTAGAGACAGGGTTTCACCGTGTTAGCCAGGATGGTCTCGATCTCCTGACCTCATGATCCACCTGCCTCGGCCTCCCAAAGTGCTGGGATTACAGGCGTGAGCCACCACACCTGGCCCAGGACCACATAATTTATTAATGGTATGTGAAACTTATTGTCTGTCATAATTATTTCCAAAGAATATAATAAAAAACCTATACTTTGTTTGAATGTCTCATGTGGTAAAAAGCCAGCAAAGATGTCTCAAATGCTTATCCTAATGAAATGTAACCAGAATGGAGGATTAACAAGGTGGCTCCCAAGAACTTGTTAAGAAGGGAAAGACTGTCATTTGGGAGTTTAACTAATTAAATCCATACTTTGTGGATTAATAACTTGACCATAGATTATACATTGGTGTGATTTTCATTGCCACTGACCTAACATCTCTATCAAAGCCCCCCACCCTTCCCTGTGCCTACGATTACACTCTGTAGGTCACGTCTTTATTTTTATTTTGAAAATATAGCATACATACAAAAAAGTATATGAAAACATGTATGTATAACTTAAGGAGCAATAATTAATATTCATGTACCTACTAATGGACCAAGTGTTTGAACTTTACATACCCCAGAATCTCTGGATATATTCTTGCTGGATTGCATGCCAATCATTCATTTCCAGAAGAAATTACTATCCAGAACTTATGTTAATAACTCCCTTAGTTTTCTTTATTGTTTTTACCACCTAGTAACATGTCCCTAAATAATAGAGTGCTTAGTTTTGCCTGTTTTTAATCTTTATATAAAGGCATTTATTCTGCATATGCTCTTCCTTGGCTTGTTTTTTAGTTTAGCATTGTTTTTGAAATTCATCCATATGGATGTAGGTAGCTGTAGTTTAATTTTCATTGCTTTGTAGTATTCCATTTTATGAATGTACCATAACTTATTAATAAATTCTACCTTGAGGGAAAAAAAATTAAGGCAGGGTTATATGCTCATCAATGAAATAACCCCAGAGGAGTGATTGATAATGCCACCACAAGTTGAACAATGTGACCCCGACCCATTATCTTCATGTTTCTGGAATTTGTGATGCAAAGAACAATGTATAGTCAATTAGTAGCTTATAGTATTTTAACACAAATTTTTAGTAAACAACTTAGGAACTGCCCCTTCTTCTTTCCTTTAAAAACCCATGTATAGTCAAGCATGGTGGCTCATGCCTGTAATCCCAGCACTTTGGGAGGCCAAAGTGGGAGGATCCCTTCAGGCCAAGAGTTTGAGATGAGACTGGGTAACATAGGGAGACCTCGTTTCCACAAAAACAAACAAGAAGCAAACCAACAAAAAACTCCACATTTGAATGCTGTTAGCCAGAACACATATACAAGGCAACTTGAATCTGTGTTTTCTGGGTTACAGTCCTCAAACTTGGCCCCAAATAAACTCTCTGCTTATATTTACTTTGCCTCAGTTTCTTCCTTTAGGTCAACAAAGCCAATGAAAAAGGCCTCAGGAGAAACAAAATCTATTGATACTTTAATCTTGGGCTTCTAGCATCCAGAACTATGAGAAATAAATTTCTGTTTAAGCCACCAGTCTGTGATATTTTGCTATGACAGCCATAGCAAACTAATTTAGCCTGTGACATGTGAAGGCTGGGGTTAAATTCTGCAGCCAACTTCTTCACATAAGGAGCCTTTTGGGTTTCTGAAGTCCCTTGATTTGCTCACTGCTAACAGCTAACAGGCGTGTCCTTTCCCTTGCATAGTTACAACTGGCCATGCTCCCAGTATCTATTTTCTTTTTCTTTTTTTTTTGAGACAGAGTCTGACCCTGTTGCCCAGGCTGGAGTGCAGTGGCACCATCCCAGCTCACTGCAGCCTTGACCTCCCAGGCTCAAGCAATCCTCCTCCTGCATAGCTGGAACTACAGGCATGCATCACCACACCCAGTTGATTTTTTAATTTTTTGTAGAGACAGAGTCTCTCTATGTTGCCCAAGTTGGTCTTGAACTCCTGGGCTCAAGCAGTCCTCCCACCTTGGCTTCCTAAAGTGCTAGTATTATAGGTATGAGCCACCATGCCCAGCCCTAATGCCTATTACTATACTTTTATATCTTCTTGGGAAAAGGGGCATCTGAAAGAGGTCAGAATTAATTAAGTGAAGGCATTACTTGACATTTCTTCACTGGGCTGTTTCCACCTATTTCCCAACTCAAATTACATATAGACACATTATTCAAACTAACTCACCAAAAGCTTGTGCAATAAGGACAACAGCACAATGTAGCCCAAATAATACAGTGCAGAAATAGAGAAATTCCTTCAATTTAAATAACAGGAATGCTTTGATTGAGATGGCCTTCAACATTCCCCTCAGCTTAAGTAAAATTAAGACAGGTGTTTTTTTTTTTTTTTTTCCTGACTCTAGGTCCCTGACCTCCCTTTTCTTAAATCACTGGAGAAAACTTGTAATTGCAAATTTTTTCTCTGCCTCCTTTGAAATGTATGTAAATCTGCTTAGAAGCCTCTTACTAGTTTTAAATGTAAACATCAAAAGAAATAGCTCCTTATCTTCCAGTCTCCATGGGAGGGTAGGAGCCTAACTTCAGTAGACATTTTGCTCCAAGTTATACAAGTACCTCCTGTTATAAGCAGAGAAAGTTTGCTTTGGGTTCAGCCAATTAGTGAACACCACTGTCTTATGATTCCCTCTACTCCAGCTGTTAAACTCTCGCCAGGCTTTTGTTTCAGCTGAGTTGAGTTTAATCTCTGTCCCTTGTTGCAATAGTCTTGAATAAAGTATCTCTTCCTGTTCAACTTTGCCCAGTGCAACTTTTATTTTGACAGCTCTTTCAATATCAATTCATATAGAATGAAAACTCTAGGGACCCAAACTACCAAACCCATATAACTTACCATCTACATTAAGATGACTTTATCATTTCACTGTTTTCATTAACATAACTTTGCTATTTCAGGAGACTCCTGACCAGGCTCAAGGCAAATAACTTGGTTGTTCATTACAGTAATGAACTGTTGAGAAGACCTAGCAAGTCTTTAGTGGGGATCATCAACAGAAAATTTACACACAAACTCTCCCAACCCCTCCTTTTAAAAATGACACATACCATGGTGAGTGTTTGAGTATTCTGGAATCTGCCAGTCACTCAAGGTCTGATCCAAGAAACTGGAGCAATGTGACTTCCACAGTATTCTGTTGATCAGGCAGGATGGAGTTCTTTTTTGTTAAAGGTTTTTCTAAGGTTTTAACAAAGGGTCTTACAAACCACTCCCTGAATTTGATCTTTGCCCCCAAACCATTTCTTTCTTTCAAAATCATTCACTGGAAGAGACTGGGAATGACGGACATATTTATTTTGAATATAGCAAGTTCCGGATCCTTTACATTTTCTCCATATTCTGTTAAAAAACTGAATAGTTTGTTCTTTAGCTTATTTTTCTCTACTAGTATTTTATTATATGCAGCTAAAAGAAATCAGCTCTTATGATATTCTGCCTGGGAATATCCTTAGTCAGATCTGCCATTTTATTGATATATTTTTTTATTTTCTACATTGCTGCAGTGATGATTTTGTTAACTGTTTGGCCAAGGCATCTTTTGGGTGTTCTTTAATCCAGCATCTGATAACATTTTCCTCACTGTCTGCAAGTTCTATATCAACCGTCTCCTTGAAGCTCTTCAAACTTTCATCAGCAATATCCTCAAGATGCTTGCTGATTCTGTCCTTTCTCCCATCCCAAAGCCAATGTCTACTTTTAGTTTTTTCTTATGGTTGCATTGTTGACGTGACATTTGAATTAAGTAGTGAAGGATGAGTGTTATTTGTATAGAGACTATATTTGGTGCATGTCTCTCTTTCTTTCTCTGTGTGCGTGTGTGTGTGTGTGTGTGTATGTGTGTGTGTGTGTTGGGCTGTTACTTTCTAGCAGTTTCTGCCAAGACACTGTGAGAGTGAGAATGGCCAGTTTGAGGAAAAAAAGCCATTTAATCTTTAACCAACAATGTTTGTTGAATGATTTTTATGTACTAGGCACTGTGCCAGGTGCTGGGAACACAAAGATAAGCAAGATAGTCTAATGAGAGAGAGGATTATTAGATAAATACATAACGAAACATAATTATAATTGTGATAACTGTTATAAAGAAAAAACACAAAATACCTTGAGATTATAATAGGAAGAACTTATCTAACCTGGAGGGGTGGCAGGGAGAGGAGTGGTGCTGAGGACAGAGAAGGCCTCCCTGAGAAAGTAACACTTAAATGGAGTCTTAAAGGATGATGGGAGTTAGCCAGGCCCAGCTGTGGAGGAGGGAGCAGTTCATCTGGAAGGAATAAAGTGTTTGAAGGTATGAATATGAAGGAGCTTGATGCCACTTCAGGAACGGGAGAGGGCTGGAGAGGGAGAGGGAGGAGTAGGGTGGAGCGATAAGCTGAAGGCAGACTGTGCAAAGCCTTGTAGGTACAATAAGAACTTTGAACTTCACCTACTAGCAATAGGTGGCCAGGGAAAGGTTTAACACTGAGTAGTCACATGGCCAAATTTGTATTTTAAAACATCATTCTGGCTGCTGAGAAGATAATAGACAAGGCAGTGGCAATTGCTGTGGCCCAGCTGAGAGTAGGACTTTCACCTTAGCTTAGCTTGGACTAAGCCTTCCCTTCCAGTGTTCCTTACCTCGACAAATGGAACCCCCATCCACTCTCTGCTCCAACAAGAAAGGTGGGCTTATCCCTGACACCTCTGCAGTGGAAAGGCAGCAATGTGAAAGTTTATACCCATATTTAAGAAATCAAATTGACAGGACTTGGTAAGGATTATATGTGGGGAGAGGGTAGGAGAAAGGTGTCAGGGATAAGCCTACCTTTCTGGTTGGAGGAGAGAGTGGATGGGGGTTCCATTTGTTGAGATATGGATTGCTGGAAGAGAGGGCTTTTGGGGGTGAAATCCAGTTTTGAATGACTAAGGTGTCAGATGCCTGCATGAAATCAGTCAAATAGATAGCTGGGGTATATAGGTCAGGCTCAAAACGGAGGTCTGAATTGTGGGGACAGAGTTAGAAAGCAATACCTAGAGAGGGCTGCCTGATCCAGGGAGGATCTTCTTAAGCTGGAGAGATTGCAGAATGTTTGAAGTCCCATGAAAAAAATCCAATAGAGGAGAGAGATTGAATCAGTGTGGCACAGGCCCTGTGCTGATGTGGTTTGTATCTGAGGAAGAGACAGACACAAATGGATGTAGTATGTGCAAACCAGAGGGAAGAGTAGAGACCCATGATGTTACAGGGCTTCCAGAGACCAAGCAGTTCAAATTAAGAGACCAGGGGACAGGGTAGCAAGGACAAAGGAAGTGGATCTAAGAAGAAGCTTGAGGGTGAAGCCTCCAAGCCCTAGATGAATAAAAACTCCAGGAAATAGTTGGCGCTTTATGCCAAAAGATAGACTAAATTCTTACTGCCATCTAATGGCTACAGTGTGTAATTGCTATACTCTCACGGCTGAAAGTCCAGGGAATTAAACTTGCTTATGGTTTACCAACATTTATCTCTATAGGCATGGTGGCTCATGCCTATGATCCCAGCACTTTTGGAGGTTGAGGCAGGAGGATCTCTTGAGCCCAGGAGTTCCAGACCAGCTTGGGCAACATAGGGAGACCCCGTCCCTTAAAAAAATAGCCAGTATTTATTGAATACTCTATACCTTACTAAGTCCCTTACGTGTATGAACTCATTTAATCTTCACAACAATACCATTTGACAAAGGAGCTGAAAGATACTAAATAATTTGTCCAAATATTCAAAATTATTTTGTGACAGGGTAGGACTAGAACACAGATTTCTTGGACTTCAGAGTTTGTGCTTTTGACTAGTAGGTGTATTCTACTGTCTCTCATGTGATAAAAGAACAGGAACTGAAAGTACCCCCATGTTGGGCTTAAGTGCCCCAGGCATTGCGTTAGTGACTGTGCACTAAGATCTTGTCTCCAATATGTAGCTCAGGCTCAAACAGCCTTACAGAGGTGGCCAGATTGGGTAGACTGTATGCCTGGAATAATAGGTCTTAAGCAGAGATTGTGGGCAGAGTTGTTCAAATCAATACTGGATGTTCTTGGAGGTCTGACACACTGCCTGAGATCATCACGTGTCCTTGTGCAACTCTTTTGGCATCCAAAGAATCCATCCCATCAGCGTATGCAATTTGGGCATAAGATACAACCACTTCTGGGAAGTACATAAGGGCAATTCTTTTTAGAAAGTTCGTGTTTCCCCTATCTTTTGGCTTCTCAGACAGGCCTTTATAAAGGTGGGGAAAATCAGGCGTTTATTACGAATGAAAATTTGTTCAGTCTCTGTGATTATTGTTGCCAAATATTACCTGCTTTTTGCTAACATTGTAGCCTTTGCTAAAAAACTCTATGGACTGCTGATACTTGGTAGTTTATAGAATTTCAAGTCACTGTTTCAAAAGAAAATTGTAGTAAATCTATTTTTGGTGTTAGGGCCAGATGTCATTATAAGGATGTCTGGACAAGAGGCTGGAAGTCCTTGTAGGTCAGGATGGCCGAAAGTAGCAGAAATATGAAGAGCAGAGCACAGATGCTCCCACTTTCATAATTGTAAACTTGTCTCTTGGTCTATTGCTTTGCTTTGTGTTTCATTCAGATAAAGCTATTCAATGACCATCTTTTAGTGCGGTTTTGTTTAGAATAGTTGTCCTGAGAGTTGGTTTTGGGGCCTCTGGGAGACCCTGAGACACTTTTATGAGTACTGTGAGATCAAAATTATTTTCATAGTAATTTAAAAATATTATTTGCCTTTTATCTCTCATTTGCCCAAGAATGTACAGTAGTCTTCCAGAAGCTACATGATGCATTATATCACAACAGATTGAATGCAGAAACAGAATTCAGCTGTGTTCTAAGCCAGATATTAAAGAGATTTGCAAAAATGTAAAACAATAACATCCTTTTAAATATCTTTGATCAAAATTGTTATTTCTGTCAACATGTAACGGAGTTATTATTATTTTTGAATGAGTTAAATAAATGTTTTTAAATGTCTTAGTTTTAATATTGAATATAGTAAATATGAATTGCTATAATCTTCATAAACAAAAACTCTTTGGGGTTTTCTAGAAATTTTAGAAGTATAAAGGAGTCTTGAGACCAAAAAGTTTCAGAATGTTGGCTGGGAGAATTCACTATAGTCAATTTCTCAATGACTTTGAGAGGAAGGATGTATGTCCTGATTCCCCCCACCTCAGGAAACAAGAGGCAGCAGGAAATACATGTATTTACGGGTCCCTGGTCTCCTTGTGTCAAACATCGCTCTCTGCATGGTTGATCTGTTTCCTTGGTAACCTAACTGTAGCTGTCACCTGTGGCCTATTAACAGCCTCCCCTGGCCAGTTGGATTCTACAGGGCAATGACTGGGAATAATTAGGAAACTTGGTAAGGAAGTTTCCTCCAGCAGGAAATTGGTTCCTCTGGAACTTGTTAGGCATTAACTCTACAGCCAAGACCGTGAAAACATTTACTGAAATTAGCGATAGTGTGCAGATCCTGTGGGAGCACTTACTCAGGGCAAATACAGTCAGGAATCAGGGACTATGAGTTTATTCTTAAAGGCTTAGGTGTTAGCTTTAAGCTATAAGGGAGCAATTAGGTTAAAATGACTCCTGAGTTTCAAACGGAGTCACACTTTTAAGCTTCTCCCTGGGGTTTTAAACATTGGTCTAGAGCAGGGGTGTGAGATGTAATTAAAGTCTACTTTAAATCCAGATGTTTCCCTTCACGGAGCCCCTTTGCCACCACAGACTTCAGTAATAGTTACAAAATCTTGCTGAACCTAGAGAAGTTGACCAAACTTAAGACAGCCTCAGCCAAGTGTGAATTTTTGATAGCTTGATCAGTCTCAACTCAATAAAAAGCAATACATTTTTCCCTGGATAACATGTGGAAGCTTTAAGATTTGTCCAATATAAGCACATGAATCTGAAGTAAAAATAAAACAAAACAAATCTACAAGAAAAACACCGTCATGTTTTCCCTGAAGAAAAATAAAAGCCAAGGATTCGACAGAGTGAAAGGAAAGAACAAGGGGCCCAGCCCAGAGGTCTCTACCTCGGGTGGGTTCCCTGCAGCCCGTGGAACCCCAGGTCTGTGAGAGGCCAGCCCCTCACAGAGAGTGACACATCTGACAGATAAATGGCAGCGCCATCATCTCCTCCTCCTATCATTCAAATGCTCTGCAGATGACCTGAAATGGAAAGCAGTTTCAGTTTGACACAAAAGATCAACACATCACAGTAGGAAGAGCATGAGCAGAGAGGGAGAACATTTCAGTGTGAAAATTTTGTAACAAAAGAAGAAAAATATAGAAGCATGAAAATATAATGAATAATGATTTGAGTGTCTACTATGAGCTGGGCACTCTGCTGAGCTCTTTGTGCTTTCTCATTTAATGCTCTTAACAGCCCTGTAGCAGAGGCACTACTATTACCTTCATTTTACTCATGAAGAAACCTAGCTGGGAAGGCTCAAATGCATTGTCCAAAGCTAAGTGGCAGAAGAGGCAATAGACTACCTTTCCCTTTAACTCCAGGTTCTAAGTTTTGACCGTATCCCAGGCACAGCATGTCCCTTTTCTTCTTCATTCAACTCACACTTACCAAGGGGTCACTCCATGCTAGACTTGAAAATAAGGAACCAAAACAGACATTGTTCCTGCCCATATGGGGCTTATAGTAGACGGCAAAATACATACATAAAATAATTACATAAATCAGCGCATCATCACAAGCCAATAAGTGTTTGGAGGAATATGTAAAGCAAACCAATAAGACTATCTATCTATCTATCTATCTATCTATCTATCTATCTATCATCTATCTATTGATCTATCTACCTTGATCTAGGCTGGACAGGTTAAGAAATACATCTCCAAGAAAGTGATATTTACATTTAAATCTGAATTTTAAATAGGAATTAACCAGGGAGTTTGTAGAGAGTAGGTGGCAGAGAGAGCCATGGGCAGAAACAACAAAGCCTCTGTAGCAAAAAGAAATCTCAGACAAAGAACTCAAAGAAGTATGAGAAGTATTAATATCATAACTGAGGAGGTGTTAAGTTTAGACATATAGTGCTCACTTCGGGAGCACATGTACTAAAATTGGATACAGAGAAGATCAGCATGGCCCATGTGCAAGGATTGGATATAGAAAACTTTAATACTTCATTAAGGATGCAATTGAAAAATCTCTTGCTATATTTTGATTTTGATTTTTTGTTTGTTTTGAACTTTTTGGCTGTTTTTCTCATGTGAGAAATGTTTCATATATAGATGACAGAGGATAATGTAATACATTTCCATGTAACTACTACTAACTTAAATATAATACTATAATTGGATAATGCTTTTAAATAATATGAACTTGATTATAATTGAAGTCTCTCGTATACATCTAATGACATCAAAAAGTTTTAAGCCAAGAGCAGACATGAACAGATTTGCATTTTGAAAAGATCTTTGAGAAGTTGCAGTGTAGGCAATGGGAAACAGACATTGATACGGGGATTCCAGTTAGCTGACTATTGAGGCTGTCCAGGTAAGAGGTATGATGGGCTGAACTGTGGTGGTTACAAAAGAGACAGATAGACTGGGGAGGTATTGGGATGAAACTGGCATGACCATTAGTGATGGATTGGTTAAGGGGAGTGAGAGGGTGCCATGGGGGCTGAAGATAACTTCTGAAATAATCTCTTATGGAGTGAAACAGTATTTCTAGGGGTAAAAGTATCTATCCTTAGTGATTATCTCAAGAATTAAGAAAAAAGTACAACCAAATTAAAATAGAAACACAATTTCAAAGAATTTTAAAATTACAATTAAGGAATTTTAATTTTAAGAATGTTAAATGTTAAATATTTTAGATTGATTTATATAATTAATCAATACATCTATTCACTATATCCTTTTCCCTCAACAAGATTAAAACTTCAGGTCAGGCCTGGTGGCTCACGCCTGTAATCCCAACACTTTGGAAGGCCAAGGCGGGCGGGTCATCTGAGATGAGGAGTTCGAAACCAGCCTGGTCAACATGGTGAAACCCCGTCTCTACTAAAAATACGAAAATTAGCTGGGTGTGGTGGCTCGCGTCTGTAGTCCCAGCTACTCCGGAGGCTGAGGCATGAGAATTTCTTGAACTCGGGAGGCGGGGGTTGCAGTGAACTGAGATTACGCTACTGCAGTCCAGCCTGGACAACAAAGTGAGACTCAGTCTCAAAAAAAAAAAAAAAAAAAAAAAAAAAAAAAGGTAAAACTTCAGTACACTTTTATTTCCTTCTCCCCCAAACCCACTCTCTTGCCTTGTATTATAATCTCTCTTGTTGACGCTGAGATTTCTTTCCAAACTCATTTTTTTGCAGCCTGCGTCAATAATTGTTTGAGGTTAATTATATGATTTCCTTGAGTTTTACTTCACTTGTGTCTGCGTGTGTGATTTCCCTTTGACTTGAAATCCCCCTTTTTTTTTTTTTTTTTTTGCTGGATTATATCCTGGAATAGTTCTTTCTTTTCTTTTCTTTTTTCTTTTTCTTTCTTTCTTTCTTTTTTTTTTTTGAGACGGAGTCTCACTCTGTTGCCCTGGCTGGAGTGCAATGGCGTGATCTTGGCTCACTACAAGCTCTGCCTCCCAGGTTAAAGCGATTCTCCTGCCTCAGCCTCCCGAGTAGCTGGGACTACAGGCACCTGCCACCATGCCCGGCTAATTTCTTGAATTTTTAGTAGAGATGGGGTTTCTTTCAGAGAGAGCCTGAGAGCAATAAACTTCCTGAAATCTTGCATGTTTGAAATGCTTTGTTTTGTACTTCATCTCAATGCTAGTTTGACTAGATGTAGTTTAGGCTCAAAATAAACTTTTCTTAGAACTTTGAGGAAAGCCTATTGCATTCTATCACAAACTGTTGCTAAAGAAAAGCATGGGATTAATCTTTTTATTTCTTTAGAGTCAAATTATGTTCTCCTCCCGCGCCCAAAGTTTGTAATATTACACTCCATTCTTGGTGCTCTGAAACTTACCATGGGAGGAATCTGGATTTGTGCCTCTGTAACATTCACCATGCTTGTCACTCAATGGGACTTTTAAATCTGAAGACTTTTGTGTTTCTTAAGCTGTGTGAAATGTTCTTAAAGTTATCTTTGACTGTTTTCTCTCCTCATTCTATTTTCTCCTTTTGGAACTCTATTTAAATAAATAGGGCTTGAGTTTCTGAATATATCTTCTGCATGTCCACTTTTTTATTTTCCAAATCTTTTCTTTCTGTTCTGCTTTTAGGTGGTGAAAACAAAGTTTAGTTTTCTAGTCCATCAGTCCCTTCTTCAATCATGTCTATTCCCTTTTTCAGCCCATTCTTTTATCTAATAAGTTTCAAATATTTTTCAGTCATCACAATTTCAAGTATTTAAAGTACATAATTAAATAATCTTCTTAGTAATGTATGTTTCTATTAATTGAAGTAATTTTAACTTTTTTTGTTTATGATCTGTTTTATTAGGTATTATTTCTTGTTAATGAAATTAAGTTTCTCTCTTTCTTTCTTTTTTTTTGAGACAGGGTCTCACTCTGTCACCCAGGCTAGAGTGCAGTGGTGCAATCATGGTTCACTGCAGCCTCAACCTGCTGGGCCAAGAGATCCTCCTGCCTCAGCCTCCTGAGTAGCCGAGGCTCATACCACCATGCTTGGCTAATTAAAAATTTTTTTGCTGTAGAGATAGAGTCTCATCATGTTTCCCAGGCTGGTCTGGAACTCGTGGGCTCAAGTGATGCTCCTGCCTTGGCCTCCCAGAGTGTTGTGATTACAGGCATGAGCCATTGCACCTGTCTGGTTTCTCTCTTTTAAGGCGTAAAATTTCCTCAAATGCCTGGTGGTTTTTGATTGCCATCTCACCTTTGGACTGATAATTTCTCTGTATTTACCTATGTATGTGGTTTCTGATGAGCTTCCCTTTATCATTTGGAGGAGTAGAACATGCCATGTGAGTATGTCAATAATTAAAAAAATTTTTTTTGATTGTTGGCGCAATCCATTCATCTTGGTTTGCCCACCCTACCTGGAAAATTGCCCTGAGTCTCTGTTCCTAGGGGCCACACTCACTACTTTAATTTCACAGGGAATGAGCTTGTGCTCAGCATAAGCAGAGGAAAAGGGATTGGTCAACTATTGGCAATACCTTATTTAATCATTCTGATGACTATCTCCATTGCTTCTTCCTGTTGCTTGTATCCACTGATTCTGAACTTAGAGTTCCACTCCTAACTCTTCTGTTTATGATTTTATGTTGAGGTTTTCCCTATTTTTTCTTCTATCAATTTAATTACATAATAGTATCTGCAAAAAATCATAATTTTGATGATTGTGTTTCTTCATTTTAGCATTTTCTTCCTCATTGTCTCCCCCTAATCTTGGCATATTGTCTTGACTAGGACTTTTACAATACAACTTCCAACCAGCCTGCCATAAGTGGGTAACAGATGTGCTGAGATGGCCAGAATTTTAATGGCTATTGCTTCTAGGCACAAGTAAAATTTTTCTTTCACACTACTGTGCCATGCAACATTATCATTTTCCAAGAATTCTATGGTGTGAAAAATATTGGGAAGTATTACTCTATAACAGTTGGGAAAACAATTCCTTCATTTAGCTTTTTCAAATTATTTGTTATAAAATGGTTATAGTATCAAGCTGAACCTAGCAAATTATTTTAATTTGTGGTTATACATCTTTTCCTTATTTTAATTTTATGTTTTTTTCCTTTCTTTTCTTACATCTCTTTCTTTTTCTTTTCTCCCTTTGGTAGACTTATCCAGGATGTGCCAATTATTGGTTATTGCAAAGAAGTAGATATTTCCTCATTAAATCAAGTATACTGGTTTTCTGTAATTTATTTAATTCATGCTTTTATATGTATTAATTCATTTCCACCACTTTTTGCATTATGATTAGTGGTATTTTTCTAGCCCCCTTGATTGAATATTTCATTTTATAAATCACCCTAATTTTAAATTAAATAGTGTTAAGGCTACAAGTTTTCTTCAGTTTACCACTTTGGACAAATAGTGATATACAATGCATTCCTTTGATGATAGTGATCCATTTCTAGTTATGCCATAAAAGGAATATATTTAAAAACTCAAGATATTTATAAGAGGTATTCATTTTTAAGTGCTTAGAATTTTTTTTTCTATTTTCTGTTATCATTTTCAGTTTTAATTTATTTCGATAAACACTGTACTCTATATGACTTCTATCTTTGGAAATCTATTAAAAACTTCTTTGCAGCTGAATCTATGGCCAATTTGTGTGTGTCATAAGCATTTGAAAAGCACGTGTCCCTATTGGGATCTAAAGTTAAGCACACACTCACCCACATGCATTCACACACACACACACATCTAGTGTTTTCTGCTTCATTTTAATGTTCATGAATCAGTTCACTTGATCATTTACCTGCTGCCACCTTGATCATTTACCTGCTCCACTTCTGAGTGGAGCTCAGAAGCCCCTGTCCCGGTGGGCTCTTCAGGCAGCCTGTCTGCTCATCTTGGCTGACTCATGGGTTGCTGCCATGGCAAAGAGGCCTTGACTGCTGTTGACCCTGGATAGTCTGGGCAGTCAAAATAAAAATGGAGTCAGATGGAGAATTTCAAGAAATATCACATAGAATTGCTCACTTAGTGACTGATAGGTCATGGTGATGGCAGCAGCAGGGAGGCATTGCCAGGGCTGCATGCTCCATGGAGCTGGCGGGATCCTTGGACAAGCGGGAGCCCTGCCTGTTCCGAGTTGGGGTTGGAGCTCCCAGGGTGCCCTGCAGCTACCCACACTGCAGCTGTAGACCTGGGCCTCCTGCTTCATGGAACAGGCAGGAGCCCCACCCTCCCAGGTGCAGCTGCAACAACCGGATCAGTGGCTACAGATCCGGGCCTCCCACTTCGTGCAGCAGGAGCAGGAGCAGGAGCCAGACCCTCCCCCTTTCCCTGCATCCCTGAACTCTTGGGGGCTGAGAAGGACCCCTGCCCTTGTAGACTCAGAAGTGCCTGCTCCCACTGCCTGCCTGGCTTCTCCCCTGCTGTTGGTACCTGCTCAGATCTTAGAGAAGTCTGGGTGAGCTTTGGCACCATGAATGGCAGCAGGAGGCAAACAGGTTCCTGGGCAGAAGAGGGCAGTCCCAGTAAGGCCCCACCTTCAGGCCAGGGAGGGCCTGAATTCTGGGGGCTGGGCCGCCAGTCCCGCAAACTGGAGTGGGGGCTTCTGGTGCCTTTTCCAGGACCTGCCACCCATGGCCGCCATGGACCAATCAACACACACTTCCTCCCCTCTGAGGTCCATAAAAGCCACGGGCTCAGCAAGAGCCAGCAGAGGATGGAGAGAGGACTGGATGATCAGCCGCAGAGAGGAGATACTGTCTCTGCTGAGAGTTGGAGATAATGAGATGACCAGCTGCAGAGAGGAGCTACCCTCTCTGCTGAGAGCTGTAGAGATCACAGGATGACCTGCCAGCAGAGAGGAGCCACCCTCTCCAGGGCCTCCTCTGCTGAGAGCTGCAGATATCAGGATGACCAGTTGCAGAGAGGAGCTACCTTCTCCAGGCCCTCCTCTCTGCTGAGAGCTGAACACTTGACAGGACTACCTGCCTGCAGAGAGGAGCTACCTTCTCCAGGCCCTCCTCTCTGCTGAGAGCTGAACACTTGACAGGACTACCTGCCTACAGAGAGGAGCTACCCTCTGTGGGTCTCCTCTGAGCTGTCATAACACTCAATAAAGCTCCTCTTCATCTTGTTCAACTTCCACTTGTTTGCATACCTCATTCTTTCTGGACATAGGACAAGAACTTGGGCAAAGGTGTCACCAGCCAGCCACAGAGGTTTCTGGCCAGAAGAGTGACACCCCAAAGATCCCATTACAATGGGACATTAGGAAGAGGGAAAAATCAAGAATAAAAAATAATTTATGACAAATATGGAACTAGTCAGCTATGGAAAAATTATTTATACATAGTATTCTTTTTAGTTGATTTTCTTGGGCTTCATGAGCATCATCAGGAAGTAATGATAATTTACCTGTTTTGTTCCAATATTTATAGTCTCATAAGTCTGATGTTGGCTAAAATTTCAGAGACTTTTCTAGGTCTCAAGGAGTTAGAAAAGCCTGTTGAAATCTGGGTTATAACAACAAGCCCCCTATGACTCCCAGGGCTTCCAGTGCATTGGCATCATAGAGAGTTACAAGAGTTTAGGGTCATCCAGATACAGCTGGAACTCAGTGACCCACTTCCTCTGAGTTCACCTAAAGGAGATATAAATAGGGAGATGCGTCATCTTAATGGGGATCATTCTGATTAGGTATACAATCTTACTAAGCCAACTCAGAGGAGGTTGCAGTTCCTTGCCAATTTTTGATAGCATTGCGTTCATCCACTTTCTCAGGCAGGGACTATAGGAAATGAAGGTGAACTCGTGGAGATTTTGGAGAGAATTTAATGAAGAGGCTGTTTACCAAGGTATGGGCAGAATTAAGGGGAATCATGAGGGATGTTGAGGCACTCAGAGACTAGTAACAACATTAACTAAAAATAAAGCCATTAAGACCCTAGGCTTGAAATGGTGATAAGGAATTAGTGTCACCTGAGTGGCGGACGTGTGGCAGGGGGTTGCCTGGTTAGAGCACTAATGGTAGAGGCACTAGACACTGCCAGAACCACAGTGCAAGGGGGAGCAGGGAGGAAACCAGAGACTACATCCCCTAACCTCTCTTCCCACACTTCCAACCTTTCGCTGGTGCTTTCAATCGGCTAGACCCAACCAGAATGCAGAGATCTAAGAGCCTGGGTGGTGCAGTGTGTGTGGTGTGTGTGTGTGTGTGCGCATGCGTGTGTGCAGCCCACTGGGGCACAGAGCAGAGTTGATCAGCGAAGGGCAAGAAAAGATTGTTACCAGGTCAGAAAAAGGATAACCAGAGCACACACTGGTGCTTGTTCCACTCAGTTGGGGCCGGGATACAGGGTGTGTTTTATATGCAATATATTGAAAATTATAGTACCTGAGGCAGAAGAATCAACCCAGGATTGCTGTTTTCTGATGTGGACTGTGGATGTGAAAAACACTAGGCAATAGAGATATAATCATAGCTACATTTTTATTCTGTGAAAACTATATATTATGAGCATTTGTCTTTTTCATTTCTTAACAAATATTTTTCAAAACTTTCATTTTATTTTTGATTTGGGTATACTTTAAGTACATAGAACATGTTATTTATTTATTTATTTGTTTATTTACTGAGACAGGATCTCTCTCTGTCTCCGAGGCTGGAGTGCAATGTTGCAATCAGGGCTCACTGCAGCCTCGACCTCCTGGGCTCAACTGATCTTCGTACCACAGCCTCATGAGTAACTGGGACTACAGGTGTGTGCCACTATGACTTTTGACTGGCCAATTATTTACTTTTTGTAGAGATAGGTCTTGCTATATTGCCAAGCTGGTCTCAAACTCTTGGGCTCAAGCAATCCTCCCGCCTTGGCCTCCCAAAGTACTGGAATTGCACAGTGAGCCACTGTGTCTGGCCACAGAACTTTTAAATTGTGCATTAAATCTGTTTTACCTTCATGATTCTGCCTTTGATACCATGCTTAGAAAGAATTTTCCTACCCTTAAGGGTTTATAAATTTCACCTACATTTCTGGTACTTTGTGACTTTTCCAAAAAAACCCTATATTTATTGCACAATTTATTGAAATATCCACATATTTTAAAAATATATTCATCTATATGTGTTTATAAATATTTATATCATATTTCTTTTCCTTTATGTGCTTATTATTTTCCTGGGCCAGTGCACTACACTGTTTTAGTTATTACTTTGTTATTGTTAGGATACATTTTAAATCTAGCAAAGAAAAGTTTCTTTCTTTGTTCTTTTTCCTATTTAAAATTTTTATTTTGGAAAATTAACAGAGAAATAAATGCTTTAAAAGGCTAGAAAATACAGACAAGCAATAAAAACAAGGAGAATATCCATACTCCCATCAGCTTAGAGATATAATATCTAGTTGTACACTTTCCCAGTTTCCTTTTTTTGTTTATAGTCCCTGCAAATTTTATGCATACATATTTTTACTTATAGAAATTAAATTATCTTATATATACTGTTTTGAATCCTTTTATTTGTAATTTAATAGACGACCATGGGCATTTTTTCTATGCAACTACAGATAGTATCTCATGATATGAATGGTCCTGGATTTACTTACACATCCTCCTTTGGATGAGCAAGTAAGTGGTTTCCAATTTTTTCCACTATTATACAGAATACGCAAATGAATATCCTTGCACTTACATGATTTATTTCTTAAAATAAATTCTTATGAGTGCAATTCTTTTTATAAAAGAAAATTATATTTTTAACTTCTCTAAATGTTGCCAGGTTTCCCTCCAGAAACATTTTACTCCTACTATGTATGAAATTTCCCTTTCCTCCTTAGCCTTGCTAGCAATGGGGGGGGGGTTTATGCTTACATTTTAAATCTTGGCTAACCTGATAGGTAAAAATTAATATATCGCTATTATTTTGTTTGCATTATTTTGATCATGAATAAAGTTGAGCCCTTTATCCTATATGTATTTTATTTTAAATGAATTTATGTATGTATACAGCCCATTAAAATATATATCCTATATTTATATATTTATATTATATAATATGTAATATTTATATATATTTTAAATTGGATTTTTTTGTTTGTGAGTACTTTTTATATAATATAAATACTAGATTGAATTGAATAGATTTCAAGTATTTTTTAGTTACCTTACAGTTTCTTTCCAATATCTCATACAAATATTTAAAACATGTATGGGATCAAATATGTCACCATTTTCATTTTGAATCGTGTTCTTGGTGTCATCTGCAGAAAAATCTATCCAACCTAAAGTTCATTAAAACACATTTTCCAATTTTTCCCACGGACACATTTACATTTGGCTGTGGTATAAGCTAGATATCCAGTATTTTTTTTTACCAAAAGAATAGTCTAGTCTTACACCACTTTTGAATAACATCTTTTCTGCAATAACTTGAAATACTTCTTTTATCTTATTTTTAGCTCCTAGATATACTTTGGTCTGTTGTCTGGGTCTGTTCTGTTTCATTGATCTATACTTTTATTTCTAGGTGACTTCCACAAAAAGTTAATTTTTGAGGCAGTTCATTGGCTAGGCAGAAATCCTAAAATACAAACCCATTCTGATTGGTTAATTAGGATACTCCCAGCTGAGAGATGTTGAAGGGCTGCAGACACTGAATTCAGTTGTTATCCAAGTCAGCTGGAACATTCTGTAATCCTTTAGCAGGTGTGAGTGCAATCCCCTTGCAATCTCCTGTCTCCACTTTAAAGCCTTAGCCTTAATTACTTCATTTTCTTTCACACGGTGAGAAGCTTGTACCGCTTTTTCCTAGCTCCTGTAATACTTTTGTTTTTCCTGTAAAGAAACCTCTTGGCAATGGTGGAGATTTGCACAGGCCCTAAGAGCCATTGATAACGATATCATTATTCGACACTGTCGTTACAAATCTATGTACCTTCCTGACTTTCATCTCCACAGAAAGTAAATTTTTCACAGTGATAGACATTTGTAGTGCTTTTTAAAGGCACTGGTTCTGGTGGACACTGAGAGACAATTTTTATTTGCTGCACGTGGAAAGGACAACAACATACCTGGACAGAAATGCCTCGAGGATGTACTGAAGGCCCCTCTCACTTTTCACAGGTACTGAAGACAGATTTAACGGACATTTATTTTCCCCAAGGGTCAACTCTCAGTAGGTTGATAACCTTTGTTTTCCTTGTAAAGAGGCTTGTGAACATGATAGCGTTTATATCCTTAAAATTCTAGCAGACAAAGGCCATAAAGTTTCCAGAGAAAATTCCAATTTACCAAGGAATGTCAAATATTTCAGATACTTGATACTAAACTAGGGACCTCTCTTGGATCCTGATAGACTTAAAAGCTTGTATGGTTTGGATCCGTGTTCCCACCAAGTCTCATGTCAAATTGTAATCCCCAGTGTTGGTGGTAGGGCCTGGTGGGAGGTGATTGGATAACGGGGGTGGGATTTTTCATGACTGATTTAGCACCATCCTCTTGATACTGTCCTCGGGATAGTGAGTGAGTCTTCATAAGATATGGTTGTTTAAAAAAGTGTGTAGCACCTTCCTGTCCCCCACCCTCTTCCTCCTGCTCTGCCCAAGTGACATGTCTGCTCCCTCTTTGCCTTCAGCCATAACTGTAAGTTTCCTGGGGCCTCTCCAGAAGACAAGCAGATGCCGCTATGCTTCCTGAACAGCCCACAGAACTGTGAGTCAATTAAGCCTCTTTTCTTTGTAAATTACTCAGTCTCAGGTATTTCTTTGTAGCAATGTGAGAATGGACTAATACGAAAGCATTTTAAACTTTCCTCAACCTCAGACTAAAAGACAGTCACAAGGGTTTTTGGGCCTGGCAGAGTACTGTTGAAACTGGGTATCTAATTTTTCTTAATAGCTCTATCATTATATATCCTTCTGAAACTTAACAAGCTGGAGCCTCCGGACTGGGAAGAGAATGCTTGTAGAGTCTCCTTTCAATTAAAATAAGGACTTCTAAGTCATCCTGCCTTAGGGCACCCCTTATCAGCTCCCCTTCCTCCTTTCTAGTGAATGAAAGAGAAGAAAGTGCATTAGGGGTTCTTAACTGAAAACATGGAGATTAACACACACACCCCTTGGATGTTACAGCCAGCAATTAGATTCAGTAGCTAAGGGACTCCCTTCCTGCATGGGAGCTGTATCAGGCACTGTGGCTTTAACTAAATCTATGTTCCTCATGTTATAGAAGCTTTAATCAATTCTCATAATACTCAATATCTTTCTGCAAGCAGAGTCACTTTTTATGAGATCTTGCTGTTGACTTCTCATATTATTCTTTCTCATTTCAATAATCATAATCCAGCAAATTGCCTTCTCTTATTCAATGACGAGACACCTCATAACTGACTAAATTTAACTGACCAGCTACTAAAACCTAGAGCTGATTTACAAGAAACCCGTATACCAGATGCAGAATTTTCATAGTTTACTGATGGATCATACATGTCCGTTAATGAAGAAAAGTATCTTGCTGGATGTACTGTTATCATTCTTTTTAAGTAACTGAAGCAGCCCTGTTGTCAATGGCTACTTCAGCCCAGCAAGCAGAACTTTATCCCCTAACTGGGGCTTGTATCCTGGTGAAAGGTAAACCTGCAAATCTTCACAGAAACATATTATATGATTAAATGTATATGAAATGTCCAGAATAGCAATTGCTAATGTATTTTCTGTTTCTATGGACTTGTCTATTCTGGACATTTCATATATATAGGTAGTCATATAATATATTGGCTTTTTGTCTCTGTTTTCTTTCACTTAGCATAATGTTTTCAGGGTTCATCCATGTTGTAGCATGTGTCAATACTTCATTCCATTTTATGCCTGAATAATTGTCTACTATATATAGATATACTACATTTTTAAATATACAGGTTGAACATTTAGGTTGTTTCCATTTTTGGCTATTATGAATTATGCTGCTATGAATGTGCACACTTTTTGTGTGTGTGAACATGTATTTTTTAGTTGTTTTTGGTACAGTTCTATGGGTGGACCTGCTGGATCATATGGTAACTGTATGTTTAACTTTTTGAAGAATCGTCAAACTCTTTTCTAAAGTAACTACTTTAGCTATACCTCATAAATTTTGACAGCTATATTTTAATTTTAATTTATTTAAAATTATTTTCTAATTTCCCTTTGATTTCTTCTTTTACCCTTTGGTTATTTATGGGTGTGTTATTTACCACATATTTGTGAAATTCCAAATTTTTTTTCTGTTATTGGTTTCTCATAGTGTTCCATCGTGGTTATAGAACATATCTTGTAATTTCTATCTTTTTAAATTTACTGAGGTTTGTTTTTTGGTAAACCTATGGTCTTTCCTGGAGAATATTTTATGTCCACTTGAGGATAATGTATACTCTGTTATTGTTGGGTAGAATATTCTATAGATTTCTATTAGGTCTATTTGGTTGATAGTGTTGTTCAAGTCTTCTATTTCCTTGTTGATCTTCTGCCTAGATGTTTCATCCATTACTAAAAGTGGGGTATTAATATTTTCAACTATTATTATTGAATTGTCTATTTCTCCCTTCATTCTGTCAGTTTTTTCTTCATGTATTTTGGTGTCCTGCTGTTAGATGCATATATATTTGTAATTGCTTTATTTTCATCGTGGAATGACCCTTTTATTATAAAATATCCCTGTAGTCACATGCTTTGTTTTAGTCTGTGTCATCTGATATTAGTGTAGCCATTCCAATTTTATTGTGGTTACTGTTTGAATGATACATCCTTTTACTTTTAACGTATTTGAATTTTTGAATTTAAAGTGTATATCCTGTATATACACTGATATTTCTATATTATGGAATAATATATTTATTATATAAAGAACTGTTATAACAGAATAATAAAGGCAAATAACGCAATATAAAGATTGGCAAAGGATTTGAATAGTCATTTCTCTGAAGAAAGTATGCAAATGACCATTGGTCATTTGAAAAGCACATGAAAAGATACTAAACATCATTAAACATTAAGGAAATGGAAACCAAAACCACAATTAAAAGAGTTCCACTTCCATGACAGCATGGTGAGCTCTGAAGTCCCACCTTAAAGAACTAAAAATATATGTTCACACAAAAACTTGTACATAAACATTCATAGCAGCATCATCCATAATAGCCAAAAATGGAAACAATCCAAATGTTCAACTTAAAGATATATAAAGAAAATGTAGTATATCTATATAGTAGACAATTATTCAGGCATACAATGGAATGAAGTGCTGACACAAGCTACAACATGGATGAACTTTGAAAACATATATATCCTGTATATACATTTAAAGTATATACCCTGTAGATAGCATAGAGTTAGATCTTGTGTGTGTGTTTTTTTAAATGCAGTCTGTGATTTCCTGCCTTTTGATTGGATTGTTCAATACATTCACATTTAATGTTATTATTGACATAGTTGGATTTATGTCTGCCATTTTAGTTTTTGTATCCTGTATGTCTTGCATGTTTTTATCCTTCAATTTCTTCTTTACTGACTTATTTGTTAGGGCAAGAGTGATCAGGGCCTCATAATTCACGATAATAATATGCCTAAGGTAGATCCTCCATCCCACAAGTAGGGGCTTGGTGGAACAAGGGAGCCCTGACCTCTCAGCTGTAACTGACCTCTCACCTGAAACTTAGCTTCAGAACTAGGCATAGGATAAGAAATGCTGAAATCCCCCCTCTTCTAGGAGGTTAGCTCTCCAACTGGAAGCTGGGAGGAAAGAGAGCCCTGAGTTCTTGACCTCATCAGTTTGGAGTAGAGTTTGTCTCTTGATGAACTGGGATAGGGGAGGGAGGGAGCAGGTCTTGTTTTGAATACCACAGAATCTTACTGTTCTTATTAAGTTTTAGTAGATTTTCTTGAATAAATTTTTTAAAAAAACTTGTTGTATACCCTTAGAAGCATTTCCAGAGACTAAATCATTGTGTTTCCAAATACAATTTTCACTTGTTTTGCTCGGGGGTTGGACTTTGGAGCTCACCATGCTGTCATGCAGGAAGTGGAACTCTTTTCACTGTGGTTTTGATTTGCGTTTCCTTGATATTTAATGATGTTTAGTATATTTTCATGTGCTTTTCAAAGGACCAATGGTCATTTGCATGCTTTCTTCAGAGAAATGTCTATTCAAATCCTTTGCCCATTTTTAAATTGTGTTGTCTTTATTCTTCTGTTGTAATGGTTCTTTATATTTTCTAGATACTAAGCTCATCAGATATATGATTTGTAAATATTTTCTCCCTTTCTTTGGGTTGTATTTTCATTTTCTTGATAGTGTCCTTCAAACCACAAAAGTTTTTAGTTTTGATGCATTCCTATGTATATATTTGATTGTTTGTGCTGTAGGTATTATAGCTAAAAACCTGTTGTCTAATGCAAGATCACAAAGATTTACACCTATGCTTTCTTTTAAGATTTTATAGTGTTAGCTCTTACATTCAGATCTTTGATCCATTTTGAATTAATGTTTATATATAGTGTGAGGTAGAAGTCCCAGTTCATTATTTTGCATATGGACATTCAGTTATCTCAGCATCATTTGTTAAAATGTTGTAAAATTTTAATGAGAAATTATTTAAATATATAAGTGAAATAGATGATAATTATATTTGTAATATTGAATTTTCTCATGTGAAACACATTTCTATTTATTTAGGTACTTACATTTGTGTGTAAAGTGATATCATTTGTTTGCTTGCTTGTTTTAACAGAAGTTTTGAATATTTCTTTTGATGCTGCATTTGTTGTTATCATTAATGGGATCATTATGCATTATATTAAAATTTTCAAAATGTTTGTCTTTACCAAAGTCAAAATTGCACATTTTAATATTAATTTAATTTTAAAAGTTAAAAATTAGTGTATTCAGTCTCCTTTCTCCCTTTTTTCTCCTACCCCACAGTTGAGCATTTTAAATTATTTTTTAGTTGGATAATTTGTTTATCATTATATCTTTAAAAATCAAGCTTGCATTATTATTTCTTTTTTTTTTTTTTTTTTGGTTTAAGCACTATCCATTGACTTCCTGTTATAAAAGATGAGTATTTACCTCTCATTCCTCTCTCTTTCCCACTCTACACAGCTAATTTCTTGTTATTTCACTCCTAATATTGCTACTCTTTAATATAAATTAGATCAATATTTAGTTTTAAATTATCATGACAATGTATGTAATTCAGAACCGAGATATGTAGTAAATAATGACTCTTTTTTACCTGAGCCAACTTAACTAAATAACTTTCTATTTTTTCTATAGTTAAGTAGGAAACTATACTGCTAATTCAATCTCCAAATTCTTCTCCTCTGGTTGTTTAAAAATTCTCTCAGTATGTTACTTCATATCAGATATTCTATGAATTTCATCATTTTGGAGAGTCCCTGGTGTTTCCTTACTGGTGTTTCCTAACATGCTTCCACACCTATTTGATGCATAGCTATTATCTTGGAGTCTTCTTTACCTTTATCTTGGGAGTGTCTCTGGTATTTAATGTCTTTATTGCTTCACTCTCCTATTTTGATGAAGCACATTTTCAAGTTGTTTCCTGAGAAAGGGTGTGTGGGAGGTAAACATTTTCAGATCTTGTTCATCTAAAAAGCTCTGCATTCTACCCTGGCCCTTGGATGGTTATAAAATTCTAAGTTGGAAATCACTTTTTAAAAAAGCATTTTGAATTATTGTTCCATTGTCTTTCAGCTTCCCATATTGCTACTGAAAGTCTTAAAGCCATTCTCATTGCTAATAAAGCTTGTGGTATTTATTTTCCTCTCTCTGGAATCTAGCAAAATCCATTTTCTGCCTCCTTTGTCAGAAGTTTCACAATGATAAGCCTTGATATGCATTTGTTTCTAGACAGTCTGTTGGGCATTTACATAACCTTTAGTATCACATCCTTTATATACTTCAGAGAGAGATATTGAGAATGGATTTTGGCTTTGGTGTGAGAGAAGATGGATCATAGTTTAAATGTACTGCCTTTTTATCTTTTATAGCTGGGAGGCAGCAACTAAGATCTTAGATTGATAAATCAGGAAAATAGTGGTATAATAAATGTTGGAGTTTTTATGGTGGCCAATAGAAATTTTAAAGGGAGATAATGGTTTTCAATTTTTCTACTCTGCTGTACTTTTGGAACTTTTAAAGCCATATTCATGTTTTGGTTTTAGAATTAAAATATAAAACAATATATAAAAATAAAAGTGTATATGCTCTGTGATCCAGCAATTCTACTTTTAGCAGTCTTATTCCAGAAGCATTCATTATCCTACTGTTTATTATGGCAATATTTGTAACAAAAAATGTTAATAGGCAAATGATTAAATAAATTGTAGTACTTCTGTGCTATATTCTATGTCCCGTGTGGTTGGAATTATCTTAGTTCCTCTCCCTACCTTCCTGCTTTGGCCCTAGAAACAGAAATATTCACCCTTTAAGAAGTAGGGGAAAATGGTTTCCACACTTCTCTTCATCTCACAATGACATGTGAAGACATGAAAAGAGTGATGACTTATCTGATTGGTGAGATCAGAAGAGACTGGACTAGTCATTTATTTATTCTCTCTTCGAACCAGATAATGTATTCTGTGTTCTCTATAGTAAGACCTGCAGGGGAAGCCTTTGCACTGTCAAAAGACCTGCTAGGTCATAAATCCAGCTGGGCTTCTCTAATTCAGCTGCATAAAGAGTTCAGATTTAAATTTAAGTGAAAAAAGCAAGGCAGAGAAATATATATACATATAATATGTGTGCATATATATGTTATTTGTATATGTATATATACATATTTATAGATCATAGATCTCAAATATTTAAGAAAGATAATATTTGCATATCCTATATATGAAATGCAGAAGAGTTTCAGAAGTATGCATATCAAATTGTGAACTCTTGTTTCCATGAGGTAAGTAATAGCAGGGAGGAGTAAGAGGGATTTTTACTTTTTATCTCAATGTATTGTTAAAATATTTTAGTTTCTATAACCACATATTTATTGATGCAATTAAAAGTTTGAGGAACAAAAATACCCTGGAAGAGAATACATGAATATTTTCATGTATAGTGGTTCAATAGTGGTTATCTCCAGAAAGTGAGTTGTGGAAGTCTATATCATTTATTTGTTTAATATTTTAAAACAATAACCTTGTATTACTTGTTATGATTCATAAAAATAAGATAATATTAGTTTTTCATCATAGGCAATAGCTAGCCTCTCCCAGATCATGTTGCTTGATGGCTGTGATCATGGTCACAGCCTTTCTTTTTTTCTTACATTTTGAGAATGCTTTTATTGCTTCAAGTCTAAAATTAACATGTTTTCTCGTTTTTCTTCCTTAGTAGAATTAATTAATTGACATAGTTTCTATTCATATCTGACCCTCTGAAATAAACCTTACCTGGTCATGGTGTGGACTGTTTAATACATAATGTATTGAATTCAAATGGCACGTGTTGGACTTAGAACTTTTGGCTTTATCTTCACAACTGATATTGGGTTATAGTTTTTGTGTGTGTGTGTTTCTGGCTGTGACATCAAGGCTATGTTAGTCTCAAAGAACGAATTTGGAAATCTTGTAAATAAAACTTCCACATCTCCCACACTTCTGCTATTTTTAATAGTGATTATGCACAGTGCAAGTGCTAAGTACTGTGTTCTTATATACTTCTTAAAGTTTCAGTAGCTGCTATACAGCTTTTTTCTTATTTCTAATATTGTGTCTTTAAATTTTTGCATTTTTCTTAATTAGATTTTTTGGAGATTTTCCTGTTTAATGAGTTTTAAAATAGAAGGCCCAGCCTTTAGAACTAGTTGTATATCCTATTATACTCCTGTTTTTCTAACTAGTTTTCTTCTTCTTATCATAACTTCTTACTTTGACTTTTATATATTTTGTTCTTCTTGCTTTCTGAGTTGAATGTGCAGTTTGTTTTTCATTTCCTAGGTTTAATAATAAATATGCATAATAATAATAGCATTAATAATTATGCAGTTTTTCTGAGGACAGCTCTGATTGGAGAGGGCCCTTATTTCCATACTTATCTCCATGATACTTTGACTTAACCCTGGTAGGGCACAGGAATGGAGTGCAAGTTTCAGATACAACTTGTGTGACTTTTATGTTCATGGAAGAATTATTGTTAAGTGTGCTTTTTTCCTTTTCTTCTTATTGGAAATCTATGTGACATTTTTATTTTAAAAATAGGGTTTTTCTGCTTAAAAAGGCTTAACACTGTTGACTGTGTTTATATTTACTCTATTTAACTTTATTTTCTTCACACTGCATTGACTTTCTGTGAGGAGATGAGTCACATAAAATTCTATCATTCCTGTCTGCTTCTGCCTAGAGCACTCTAAATGCATGGTGGCTACCATCATTATTACTGCACCCCTTCCTAGCCTCACCTCTTGCTCAATTCTGTTCAAGAGGATTTCAAAGGAAGTCAGAAATAAGAATAGTATTCAGCATGACTCACAGAGCAGTGCTGCAGAAATAGAGGTGGATGGACACATTCTATTTTTTCATTGGTACAGGGACTAGGTAAGGCTAATTACTGAAGACACAGAAATATAAATACTAAATTTTATGATAAGAAAATAAAACATACTAGAAACAACATACATTTTATTTATAAAAATCCAAAACATTGTTAAATGAAACAATACATGAAAGATAAAAATAAAAAATCTTGGCCGGGTGTGGTGGCTCAAGCCTGTAATCCCAGCACTTTGGGAGGCCGAGGTGGGCAGATCACGAGGTCAGGAGATCGAGACCATCCTGGCTAATACTGTGAAACCCCGTCTCTACTAAAAATACAAAATAATTAGCTGGGCGTGGTGGCAGGCGCCTGTAGTCCTAGCTACTCGGGAGGCCAAGGCAGGAGAATGGTGTGAACCCAGGAGGTGGAACTTGCAGTGAGCCAAGATCACACCACTGCACTCCAGCCTGGGCAACAGAGCAAGACTCTGTCTCAAAAAAAAAAAAAAAAAAAAAAAAAAAAAATCTTAGTGGGGAGATGGTAGATGAAATGAAATGGTGAAATGACTGGTTGACTAAAACAGAGAAAGAATAATAAAAGCAATCTAAAAAGATCATAATTAAACTTATTTAATTATGTGAAAGTGAAACATGGGTATTGCATATTATTGAATTAGTGCTAGATACACAAAGTTGAGAGACTCTTCCACAATGCAGAAAGTAATATGAGCAAAAAATGATGAAAGAGAGATGATGAAAAATAAGGAGTACAGAGTCTGAAGATCCAACATACAGATAATAGGCATCTCTGAGGAAGCATTTATTTACTGTGAATCAGAAGCCATAATAGATTAAAGAAAATTTCATAAACTAAAAAAATGTGATTCTATAGAATGAGAATATTCCCTGTATTTCAGGCAAAAATAATAATGAGAAGAGACCCACATGGAGGCAGATTGGTGAAGTTTTTGAATTTCACAAGGGACAGAAATCAAATAGTTTCAAGAAGTCTAAAGAACTTTGTGGGAAATGTTTATGAGCCAGCAATTTATGTGATAAGAGAATAGATATAGTCTCACTTAAATACGGCCTCTGAAAATGAATTATTTATGCACATTTCATTGAAAGTTATTCAAAGACATAATTATTTTGGCAAGAAATGAACCAAATATTAAATCAAGAATGAGGAGATACAGAGTTGAAAAAACTGAACTTGAACACTGATAGTTAAATTATACTGAGGTCTCTCATTTAATGCATATTTGTACCACGTTTTACAGAATGGGACCTTAAAATAATGTACATCTATTTTTTTCACATGTAATGACTTCATATATTTTTAAGCACAAAGAAGAAACTAAACAAAGAACAACTAACAAAGAAGAAATAAAATCTTAGTCTTAACCCCTCACCACAAGGCTTTTGGGTTCATGGCCTCTTGCAGAAGAATACACAACAATAACAGCTGTGCTATTGTCCATGTAGTGTTGAAATCTGCACACACATATTATGCTTGTTCCTTCTGAAACAAATAGATGGGCCAAAAGGTCCTGTGACTCATCCAACTGCTGGACCAAAGATTTCCACCTCCATTGATTCTCTTCTCCAAACATCTTTGTGGGAAACCACACTGGATGCGGAATGGGAGTGAGGCTCACATGATAAGAGAATTTGTAGATGGTTTGTTCTTTTTTGAATAAATTGTCCCTTGACCTAAATTGTCATAGAGGTTCTCAAGACAGTAATAAATGTTGGAGCAAAATTGAAATCTAGAGTAAATGTTCCTGAAATTTTTTTTCTTTTAGAAGGAAAGAACAGAACAGTTAGGGGAATCAATGATACAAATAAATAAAATAAATGTTTCCTGAGCTAATGAAAACTTCGTATCTTCAGGTTAGAAAGGCTCATTGAATGTCAGACAAAAACAAAATTAAAGAAAATATTTAGAAAAAAGGATTGACTCAAGAAAGTGAAAGATGTGGTAGAAAGAAAAGGTGATAAATAATAACTCCTCTGAAATAATTGTTTAAATAATTCCTGTTCATATGATTTTGAAATAACATATAGGTTCATAAGTGATTTTTGTCATTGTTGTTGGGATGGAGTCTCATTCTGTCACCCAGGCTGGAGTGCAGTGGTGCAGTCTTGGCTCACTGCAACCTCTGCCTCCCAGGTTCAAACAATTCTCCTGCCTCAGCCTCCTGAGTAACTTGGACTACAGGTGCGCAGCACAACACCTGGCTAAGTTTTGTATTTTTAGTAGAGATGGGGTTTCACCTCATTAGCCAGGCTGGTCTTGAACTCCTGACTTCAGGTAATCCACCCACCTAGGCCTCCCAAACTGCTGGGATTACAAGCGTGAGCCACTGTGCCCAGCCCATCTGTGATTTTTAAAAGAGAAGATGCATTGTTAAAAAAAATTGTGATATGAATCTAAAATATTCAGATCATTGGGACTTGGGGTTATAGGGAGATAAGTGAGGAGGCAAACGTGTGATAAACTGTTTCTTTTATAGGGTGTATGTAAAAATCATGATGTATTCTGGAAAGTGATTCAAATTCAAATGCAATGTTTAAAATCACAGGCTGGGTGAGGTGTCTTACACCTGTAACCCCAGCACTTTAGGAGGCTGAGGCAGGAGGATCGCTGGAACCCAGAAGTTCAAGACCAGGCAGGGTGACATAGTGAGACCCTATCTCTAAAAATTTTTTTGTTTGTTTGTTTTTTTGAGACAGAGTCTCACTCTGTCACCCAGGCTGGAGTGCAGTGGCGCGATCTCGGCTCACTGCAAGCTCCGCCTCCCGGGTTCAGGCCATTCTCCTGCCTCAGCCTCCCGAGTAGCTGGGACTACAGGTGCCCGCCACCACATCCGGCTAATTTTTTTTTGTATTTTTAGTAGAGACGAGGTTTCACCATGCTAGCCAGGATGTTCTTGATCTCCTGACCTCATGATCTGCCCGCCTCGGCCTCCCAGTGTGCTGGGATTACAGGCGTGAGCCACCGTGCCCAGCCAAAAATTTTTAAAATTACCTAGGAGTGGTGGCGCGCGTCTGTAGTCCCAGCTACTCAGGAGGCTGAGGTGAGAGGATCACTTGAACCTGTGAGGTTGAATCTGCAGTGAGCCATGATTATACCACTGCACTCTAGCCTGGGTGACACCCTTTTTCAAAAAAAATCACAGATAACCAGTAACTAGCAAGTAAAATATGAAGGAAAGATAATCACTAGCGCAAAGTTAGAAAAAAGAAAAAGCAAAAAAGTGTAAAATTAGGAAAATGAAAACATACTAATAGAAAAATATGATGATAAAGTTTGACCAAATGCCATATTTATAAAAATAAATGTGAGTAATTTAGATTTGAATTAAAAGATGAATATTCTCAAATTATATCAAAAGTAAAATTTAAATATAAGCTGTTTACAAGGGACTCAACTAAAGCAAAATAACTGATAAATTTTAGCAATAAAGTGATGGCAAAAATATAGCATGTAAGTAATTCATAATTTTTTTTAAAACCTGGCTGGGCGCGCTGGCTCACGCCTGTAATCCCAGCACTTTGGGAGGCTGAGGCGGGCGGGTCACGAGGTCAGGAGATCGAGTCTGTCCTGGCTAACATGGTGAAACCCCATCTCTACTAAAAATACAAAATATTAGCTGGGCGTGGTGGCAGGGGCCTGTAGTCCTAGCTACTCGGGAGGTTGAGGCAGGAGAATCCCTTGAACCTGGGAGGCGGAGGTTGCAGCGAGCTATATTGCACCACTGCACTCGAGCCTGGCGACAGAGCAAGACTCTGTCTCCAAAAAAAAAAAAAAAAAAAAAAATCCATGTCTCTCCATCCCATCATTATTGTTCATCCCATCATCTTGCTCTTGTATGACTGCTACGTGAGCATAACTGTAATAATTCTTTTTGCCTTTAGTCTTATCTCTGTCTTGTTCACCTCCCACACTGGTCAGACTAACCTTTCTAAAATGCATTTTTGTCTGTTAGTCCTCTGCTTGAAAGTCTAGTAAATTCACATTGCTTTTAGGATAAAGTCCAAACTCCTTAATATGGCCTTGCATCATCTGTCCTTCACAGCATCTATAGCCTCAATTCCTGCCATTCCCTAGTTTGTACTTTCTTTTCTTTTTTTTATTATACTTTAAGTTTTAGGGTACATGTGCACATTGTGCAGGTTAGTTACATATGTATACATGTGCCATGCTGGTGCACTGCACCCACTAACTCGTCATCTAGCATTAGGTATATCTCCCAATGCTATCCCTCCCCCCTCCCCCCACCCCACAACAGTCCCCAGAGTGTGATATTCCCCTTCCTGTGTCCATGTGATCTCATTGTTCAATTCCCACCTATGAGTGAGAATATGCGGTGTTTGGTTTTTTGTTCTTGCGATAGTTTACTGAGAATGATGGTTTCCAATTTCATCCATGTCCCTACAAAGGACATGAACTCATCCTTTTTTATGGCTGCATAGTGTTCCATGGTGTATATGTGCCACATTTTCTTAATCCAGTCTATCATTGTTGGATATTTGGGTTGGTTCCAAGTCTTTGCTATTGTGAATAATGCCACAATAAACATACGTGTGCATGTGTCTTTATAGCAGCATGATTTATAGTCCTTTGGGTATATACCCAGTAATGGGATGGCTGGGTCAAATGGTATTTCCAGTTCTAGATCCCTGAGGAATCGCCACACTGACTTCCACAATGGTTGAACTAGTTTACAGTCCCACCAACAGTGTAAAAGTGTTCCTATTTCTCCACATCCTCTCCAGCACCTGTTGTTTCCTGATTTTTTAATGATTGCCATTCTAACTGGTGTGAGATGGTATCTCATTGTGGTTTTGATTTGCATTTCTCTGATGGCCAGTGATGATGAGCATTTTTTCATGTGTTTTTTGGCTGCATAAATGTCTTCCTTTGAGAAGTGTCTGTTCACGTCCTTCACCCACTTTTTGATGGGGTTGTTTGTTTTTTTCTTGTAAATTTGTTTGAGTTCATTGTAGATTCTGGATATTAGCCCTTTGTCAGATGAGTAGGTTGCGAAAATTTTCTCCCATTTTGTAGGTTGCCTGTTCACTCTGATGGTAGTTTCTTTTGCTGTGCAGAAGCTCTTTAGTTTAATTAGATCCCATTTGTCAATTTTGTCTTTTGTTGCCATTGCTTTTGGTGTTTTAGACATGAAGTCCTTGCCCATGCCTATGTCCTGAATGGTAATGCCTAGGTTTTCTTCTAGGGTTTTTATGGTTTTAGGTCTAACCTTTTACTCTTTAATCCATCTTGAATTGATTTTTGTATAAGGTGTAAGGAAGGGATCCAGTTTCAGCTTTCTACATATGGCTAGCCAGTTTTCCCAGCACCATTTATTAAATAGGGAATCCTTTCCCCATTGCTTGTTTTTCTCAGGTTTGTCAAAGATCAGATAGTTGTAGATATGTGGCGTTATTTCTGAGGGCTCTGTTCTGTTCCATTGATCTATATCTCTGTTTTGGTACCAGTACCATGCTGTTTTGGTTACTGTAGCCTTGTAGTATAGTTTGAAGTCAGGTAGTGTGATGCCTCCAGCATTGTTCTTTTGGCTTAGGATTGACTTGGTGATGCGGTCTCTTTTTTTGGTTCCATATGAACTTTAAAGTAGTTTTTTCCAATTCTGTGAAGAAAGTCATTGGTAGCTTGATGGGGATGGCATTGAATCTGTAAATTACCTTGGGCAGTATGACCATTTTCATCATATTGATTCTTCCTACCCATGCGCATGGAATGTTCTTCCATTTGTTTATATCCTCTTTTATTTCCTTGAGCAGTGGTTTGTAGTTCTCCTTGAAGAGGTCCTTCACATCCCTTGTAAGTTGGATTCCTAGGTATTTTATTCTCTTTGAAGCAGTTGTGAATGGGAGTTCACTCATGATTTGGCTCTCTGTTTGTCTGTTGCTGGTGTATAAGAATGCTTGTGATTTTTGTACATTGATTTTGTATCCTGAGACTTTGCTGAAGTTGCTTATCAGCTTAAGGAGATTTTGGGCTGAGACAATGGGGTTTTCTAGATATACAATCATGTCATCTGCAAACAGGGACAATTTGACTTCCTCTTTTCCTAATTGAATACCTTTTATTTCCTTCTCCTGCCTGATTGCCCTGGCCAGAACTTCCAACACTATGTTGAATAGGAGTGGTGGGAGAGGGCATCCCTGTCTTGTGCCCGTTTTCAAAGGGAATGCTTCCAGTTTTTGCCCATTCAGTATGATATTGGCTGTGGGTTTGTCATAGATAGCTCTTATTATTTTGAAATACGTCCCATCAATACCTAATTTATTGAGAGATTTTAGCATGAAGGGTTGTTGAATTTTGTCAAAGGCTTTTTCTGCATCTATTGAGATAAACATGTGGTTTTTGTCCTTGGCTCTGTTTATATGCTGGATTACATTTATTGATTTGTGTATATTGAACCAGCCTTGCATCCCAGGGATAAAGCCCACTGGATCATGGTGAATAAGCTTTTTGATGTGCTGCTGGATTCGTTTTGCCAGTATTTTATTGAGGATTTTTGCATCAATGTTCATCAAGGATATTGGTCTAAAATTCTCTTTTTTGGTTGTGTCTCTGCCAGGTTTTGGTATCAGAATGATGCTGGCCTCATAAAATGAGTTAGGGAGGATTCCCTCTTTTTCTATTGATTGGAATAGTTTCAGAAGGAATGGTACCAGTTCCTCTTTGTACTTCTGGTAGAATTCGGCTGTGAATCCATCTGGTCCTGGACTCTTTTTGGTTGGTAAGCTATTGATTATTGCCACAATTTCAGCTCCTGTTATTGGTCTATTCAGAGATGCAACTTCTTCCTGGTTTAGTCTTGGGAGAGTGTATGTGTCGAGGAATTTATCCATTTCTTCTAGATTTTCTAGTTTATTTGCGTAGAGGTGTTTGTAGTATTCTCTGATGGTAGTTTGTATTTCTGTGGGATCGGTGGTGATATCCCCTGTATCATTTTTTATTGCGTGTATTTGATTCTTCTCTCTTTTTTTCTTTATTAGTTTTGCTAGCGGTCTATCAATTTTGTTAATCCTTTCAAATAACCAGCTCCTGGATTCATTAATTTTTTGAAGGGTTTTTTGTGTCTCTATTTCCTTCAGTTCTGCTCTGATTTTAGTTATTTCTTGCCTTCTGCTAGCTTTTGAATGTGTTTGCTCTTGCTTTTCTAGTTCTTTTAATTGTGATGTTAGGGTGTCAATTTTGGATCTTTCCTGCTTTCTCCTGTGGGCATTTAGTGCTATAAATTTCCCTCTACACACTGCTTTGAATGCGTCCCAGAGATTCTGGTATGTTGTGTCTTTGTTCTCATTGGTTTCAAAGAACATCTTTATTTCTGCCTTCATTTCGTTATGTACCAAGTAGTCATTCAGGAGCAGGTTGTTCAGTTTCCATGTAGTTGAGTGGTTTTGAGTGAGATTCTTAATCCTGAGTTCTAGTTTGATTGCACTGTGGTCTGAGAGATAGTTTGTTATAATTTCTGTTCTTTTACATTTGCTGAGGAGAGCTTTACTTCCAACTATGTGGTCAATTTTGGAATAGGTGTGGTGTGGTGCTGAAAAAAATGTATATTCTGTTGATTTGGGGTGGAGAGTTCTGTAGATGTCTATTAGGTCCACTTGGTGCAGAGCTGAGTTCAATTCCTGGGTATCCTTGTTGACTTTCTGTCTCATTGATCTGTCTAATATCGACAGTGGGGTGTTAAAGTCTCCCATCATTAATGTGTGGGAGTCTAAGTCTCTTTGTAGGTCACTCAGGACTTGCTTCATGAATCTTGGTGCTCCTGTATTGGGTGCATATATATTTAGGATAGTTAGCTCTTCTTGTTGAATTGATCCCTTTACCATTATGTAATAGCCTTCTTTGTCTCTTTTGATCTTTGTTGGTTTAATGTCTGTTTTATCAGAGACTAGTATTGCAACCCCTGCCTTTTTTTGTTTTCCATTTGCTTGGTAGATCTTCCTCCATCCTTTTATTTTGAGCCTATGTGTGTCTCTGAACGTGAGATGGGTTTCCTGAATACAGCACACTGATGGGTCTTGACTCTTTATGCAATTTGCCAGTCTGTGTCTTTTAATTGGAGCATTTAGTCCATTTACAGTTAAAGTTAATACTGTTATGTGTGAATTTGATCCTGTCATTATGATGTTAGCTGGTTATTTTGCTCGTTAGTTGATGCAGTTTCTTCCTAGTCTTGATGGTCTTCACATTTTGGCATGATTTTGCAGCGGCTGGTACCGGTTGTTCCTTTCCATGTTTAGCGCTTCCTTCAGGAGCTCTTTTAGGGCAGGCCTAGTGGTGACAAAATGTCTCAGCATTTGCTTGTCTGCAAAGTATTTTATTTCTCCTTCGCTTATGAAGCTTAGTTTGGTTGGATATGAAATTCTGGGTTGAAAATTCTTGTCTTTAAGAATGTTGAATATTGGCCCCCACTCTCTTCTGGCTTGTAGGGTTTCTGCCCGAGATATCCGCTGTTAGTCTGATGGGCTTCCCTTTGAGGGTAACCCGACCTTTCTCTCTGGCTGCCCTTAACATTTTTTCCTTCATTTCAACTTTGGTGAATCTGACAATTATGTGTCTTGGAGTTGCTCTTCTCTAGGAGTATCTTTGTGGTGTTCTCTGTATTTCCTGAATCTGAACGTTGGCCTGCCTTGCTAGATTGGGGAAGTTCTCCTGGGTAATATCCTGAAGAGTGTTTTCCAACTTGGTTCCATTCTCCCCATCACTTTCAGGTACACCTATCAGACGTAGATTTGGTCTTTTCATATAGTCCCATATTTCTTGGAGGCTTTGTTCATTTCTTTTTATTCTTTTTTCTCTAAACTTCCCTTCTCGCTTCATTTCATTCATTTCATCTTCCATCACTGATACCCTTTCTTCCAGTTGATTGCATTGACTCCTGAGGCTTCTGCATTCTTCATGTAGTTCTCGAGCCTTGGTTTTCAGCTCCATCAGCTCCTTTAAGCACTTCTCTGTATTGGTTATTCTAGTTATACATTCTTCTAAATTTTTTTCAAAGTTTTCAACTTCTTTGCCTTTGGTTTGAATGTCCTCCCATAGCTCAGAGTAATTTGATCGTCTGAAGCCTTCTTCTCTCAGCTCGTCAAAGTCATTCTCCATCCAGCTTTGTTCCGTTGCTGGTGAGGAACTGCGTTCCTTTGGAGGAGGAGAGGCGCTCTGCGTTTTAGAGTTTCCAGTTTTTCTGTTCTGTTTTTTCCCCATCTTTGTGGTTTTATCTACTTTTGGTCTTTGATGATGGTGATGTACAGATGGGTTTTTGGTGTGGATGTCCTTTCTGTTTGTTAGTTTTCCTTCTAACAGACAGGACCCTCAGCTGCAGGTCTGTTGGAATACCCTGCAGTGTGAGGTGTCAGTGTGCCCCTCCTTTGGAGTGCCTCCCAGTTAGGCTGCTCGGGGGTCAGGGGTCAGGGACCCACTTGAGGAGGCAGTCTGCCCGTTCTCAGATCTCCAGCTGCATGCTGGGAGAACCACTGCTCTCTTCAAAGCTGTCAGACAGGGACATTTAGGTCTGCAGAGGTTACTGCTGTCTTTTTGTTTGTCTGTGCCCTGTCCCCAGAGGTGGAGCCTACAGAGGCAGGCAGGCCTCCTTGAGCTGTGGTGGGCTCCGCCCAGTTGGAACTTCCAGGCTGCTTTGTTTACCTAATCAAGCCTGGGCAATGGCGGGCGCCCCTCCCCCAGCCTTGCTGCCGCCTTGCAGTTTGATCTCAGACTGCTGTGCTAGCAATCAGAGACTCCGTGGGTGTATGACCCTCCAAGCCAGGTGCGGGATATAATCTCGTGGTGCACCGTTTTTTAAGCCCGTCGGAAAAGCGCAGTATTTGGGTGGGAGTGACCCGATTTTCCAGGTACCGTCCGTCACCCCTTTCTTTGACTCAGAAAGGGAACTCCCTGACCCCTTGCGCTTCCCAAGTGAAGCAATGCCTCGACCTGCTTCGGCTCGTGCACGGTGCGCGCACCCACTGACCTGCGCCCACTGTCTGGCACTCCCTAGTGAGATGAACCCGGTACCTCAGATGGAAATGCAGAAATCACCGTCTTCTGTGTCGCTCATGCTGGGAGCTGTAGACGGGAACTGTTCCTATTCAGCCATCTTGGCTCCTCCCCCTAGTTTGTACTTTCTAATTCAGCACCTTTCTCCTCGACTTTCAGTTCTTCCAGTACATATTCTCTGTCATCTGGGCCCCTCAGCCTGCTGTTCCCTCTGCTTAAAACACTCTTTCTACTGGGCTTGTAATTTCAGGCTGATGTTCCTTTTATAATTAAGAAAAGGTATGCAAATAAAACTATCTACTGAGAGCGAAAATAACCTGTGAGTTACCTGGAGTTTACAGAGGCTAGAAAGAATAGAATGCACTGTGGCCACAGTGCTCATGTTTTTCAAGAGGGTATCAGTGCTGTGACTTTTCGAATAATATCCTCATCATTTCCTCAGTAACAGGATTAGTATTAAATCCCAGAGGAAAGTTGCAAGAACCCATTTTCTCAAGTTATGTAAAACTCAGATTCAACAAACTCCCCCCATTTATACCACTGTGTGAACCTGATAACAACACATTCAAGATAGCAAAAACATGCCAGTAAGTGGCTTCTAGCTTCAATGCCACAGATATTTTTTAAATAGTTATTTTAAAATGATAATTTGTAGGTAGTATATTTAATTCAAGGAAGTCTAAAATATTAGACTTGAAATCATCAGGAGTGTGTAATACATCGGACAGTTTAGTTCAACTCAACTTTTAAATCAATATTTTAAAATCAAATTTTATTCTAATGTGTTTGAATTCTGCAAAGTTTTTTCAGGTATCAAAACTAGGAACTTTTTTAAATTTTACTTTAAGTTCTGGTATACATGTGCAGAATGTACAGTTTTGTTACATAGGTATACATGTGCCATGGTGGTTTGCTGCACCCATCAACCCGTCATCTAGGTTTGAAGCCCCCCATGCATTAGGTATTTGCCCTAGTGCTCTCCCTCCCCTTGCCCCCACCCCCAGTAGGCCCTGGTGTGTGATGTTCCCCTCCCTGTGTCCATGTGTTCTCATTGTTCAACTCCCATTTATGGGTGAGAACATGCAGTGTTTGGTTTTCTGTTCCTGTGTTAGTTTGCTGAGGATGATGGTTTCCAGCTTCATCCATGTCTCTGCAAAGGACATGAACTCATTCTTCACTGGTCATTAGAGAAAGCAAATCAAAACCACAATGAGATACCATCTCACGCCAGTTAGAAGGCAATCGTTAAAAACTCAGGAAACAACAGATGCTGGCAAGACTGTGGAGAAATAGGAATGCTTTTACACTGTTGGTGGGAGTGTAAATTAGTTCAACCATTGTGGAAGACAGTGTGATGATTTCCTCAAGGATCTAGAACCAGAAATACCATTTGACCCAGCAATCCCATTACTGGGTATGTACTCAAAGGATTATAAATCATGCTACTATAAAGACACATTCCCACGTATGTTTATTGTGGAACATTATTTTTTGAATGTTTTAAAGGCTCTTAAGTAAAATGTTTTTTCTTAGTGTGATGTTTATTGTAGGGGCTTATGAATTGTTTGTTGCTCCTTTACTAATTAAGCAAAGTTTGTAAGGTTTTAGAGGCAGTTCCTTTCTTTTATTTCTATTCCAGGATTTTAGCAATTGTTAGGTTCTCATCTATCACATCTCAAAAGTTAGTTTTCACTCCAAAACTGAGAGGTTCAAATAGGATTTAAATTGTCAAAAAAAATTGTGTCTACTGTGGTGTTTTTTGCATCATGACAGTAATTTGACTCTGCAGCTTAAGAATATGGAGAATATTTTAAAAAAAAGGATATGGAGAATATGGAAGTGACAAGAATTGTAGGGTTCAGACATCTACTCTGATACAAATTATTTACCAGCTGGCTCAGGAAAGGTGAGCCAGTGCTTGTCCCTTGGAGACTCAGGCGTGTATTTGGAAGAGAATATGTAAAGCCTGAAGGAAATCTGCAGATGTGCTTTATTTAATTCCTTGTTATATTTATGTACCTAAGAACACTCTCGACAAAAGCAAGCTAGGCTTCTGGTTCAGATGGCAGAGTGTGAAAAGCTTTGCTGTGCATTGGTCCCTGTTGCAAACAGGCTGATGCCTAGGCCAGCCCTGTCAGCAATCCAAGCCCAGCTCTGGGCTTTTCACTGGTGAGGACAGTGGGGAGCAGTACAATCCCTGTGGACATAGGAACAATAGGCCACAGCCCACCGCAGTGCTCCAGGGAAGCAATTTGGAGCCTGAATCTAGCCCCATCATTTAGACATACACCATGAATCAGAGGGCATTTGTGCTATTATTAGTCCACACTCCTATAACAGGTCAGCCAGTTCACTATATTTCCCATTCTTTCTTTTTTTTATTCTCTTAAAACATATTTAGTTGACAAATAAAAATTTGTCAAGGAGTACAATGTAATAACTTGATATAAGTATACACTGTGTAATGAAGTACAGTGAAAAACTTCAGTGAAGAAAGCTGTAAAACCTCTTATGGCCTCTTGTGCAGATCTTGCAGCGTCTGCACCTGTTAAACCTCTGCCAGTCTCCTTCCTGGGTCTGAATCTGGCCTCCACCATTTCCACACTATGTGATCCAGGATCCATCATTTCGTTTCTTTAAGCTCCACTTTACTTATCTGTGTTATGGTTAATCAGAACGGCTTTTGCTAAGTAATGATGAAGTGAGATATACTCATGTATGCAAAGTGCTTAGAGCAGGGCCTAAAGGGTAGTAAGAGCCCAATGAATGTTAAGCGCAGGGTTTAAGACCCTTTGTAGAGGCCCAGCTCAATATCCTGCGATGTTCTGAGCAGGTTCCTTAGCGTATTCTTTATGTCAGTTAAGTCCAAAACGTGATAAGGGAACTAACTATATCAGTGGCAAGTCCAGACAAGAAGGACAGAGATTTGTGAATTCCTAGGCGCCAACTGGATTCTGACAACCAGACAAGTGAGAACAGGAGGACTCAGCTACTTTCTTTTTCTTGAGGACCGGAAATCAGGGAAGATCTCTCTAAAACAGTAGCATTCAAATGCCTGTGCAGAATGCGGACTCCTTAAAGGGTGAAGTGATTTGCTCAGAAACATGCAGCTAGGAGATGGGTAAAAGAGGTCTCCTGACTCCCATTTTGGTGTTTCTTGTGTTGATCAAACTGCCTCTATTAGAGCCTTCTTGGAATCTCCAGAAAATACTTTGTACAGAGCATATATACTGATCATAATAAGAAATCATCTGGAACTACATTCTTCCATTAAAAAAATTTTGAATGGCTGCTATGTTTAAGGCTCTGTGTTGGGCACTTAAAGACCCAGCATCTTTCTGTTAACCATCTCTTCTTTGGGCCAACAGCCTCCTAGTCAGACAGGTCTAAAACTCCAGCATCAACTTTGACACCTGTATTGGCTCATTCTCTGTCTCTTTCACTAGCATTATTCGCTCACTATACATTTAGATTATGGTAGCAACCTTTCAATTTGGCCCCTGCCTGTAGGCTTGACATTGGTCACTAGGAGGGTCCCTAGTTTGGAGTTAATATAGGGTATATATAACTTTGGAGTTAATATAGGGTAAAATCTCAACTGAAGATTTAAGACTATTTCCCAAATGGGATCGATTTCTTAATTTCTGTTTATTTATAAATAATCAGTAAAAAGCGTCTGGGATTCTATCACCCAGAAATAACCAACACCAACCACTACCAGCAATCTCTGTATCTTTACATATTTCACATATGTAATTAAAAAAATCATACACATAATTTGAAATCATTTGCACATATATCATGAGCATTTTCATAACAATAAATAATTGATGCATTACATGCTATTGTGTCACTAATCCTTAATTTAATCAATCCTCCATTGATTTTTTTATATTAATACTGTTTTTTTACTATTATAATCACTAACAGTAAATGCTAAATACACAGATCTTCATGAATTTGTTGGAGTACTTTCATCAAACAAATTATTGTAAAGGAAATTGCTAGATCAAAGGATGCTTAATTTTAAGGCTTTTGATGAGTGTTGTCAAAGTGCCCTCTGGAAATTTTATGCCAATTTACACTGTGTTTCCTCTTTCTCTACAGTGTCATCCTGGTTATTAATATTTGTTAACATCTTTGCCAGTCTGAAAGGGGAAAATGATATTATGTTAATTTGTATTTTATTGATTACAATGAGAGTGAAATATTTTGCATATCAAAGGCCATTTATATTTCCTATTTTGTGAGTTATCCATTCATATCTTGTAACTATACTTTCACTGATTTATCTTATTTGTCTGTATTAATTCTGTCATATATAGTGAATATTTTCCCATTTGATTTTTTTTTACTAATTATTGTAATAAACATTAAAATTTTTGATTTCATCAAATCTTTCACACTTTTTATTTGCAACTTCTGAACTTAATTCTTTTCTTGGATAAGCTTTTCTTATTCCAAGCCTAGCAAATATTCAGCAATATTTTATTCAAGCGCTTTTAAGGTTTCATTTGTTACCTTAAGATCTGATCAATGTTGAATTTATTTTGATATAGAGTATAAGAAAAAGTAACTGTGTTGTGGCTTGCATTTTCTCTAATTTACGATAAATCCATCTTTTCCCTCACTGATCTGGAATGGTGATATTATTATATGTTATACATACATGAATCTACTGAGGATCTTTGATGTGAAGAGGTTAGATGCAGAGATACCAGGGAGGTCCAGGTGCAAAGTAATGATAAAGCTGCTAGTAGCAATGAAAAGGAAAAGGATTAGTGCAAGAAATCTTGCATGAATGCATAGATGAATAATAGATAAGTCTTGTCTCCTCTTTGAAATATGAGGTAATAAGGAGAAACTACATAGTTTTTGAACTAGATGACTGGGGAAAATTGTCATGTACAAAAATAGGGAAAGCAGGAGTAGTTGGCTGTGAAGTAGAAGATGACGATCAATTTAATCATTAGGATTTTGAATTTGTGGTCCCAATAGAGTATCTGTGGTGTGGTGGGGAGAGAGGGAGGGAGGGAGGGAAGAAGGGAGGGAGGGAGGGGGGGAGAGAGAGAGAGAGAGAGAGAGAGAGAGAGAAGCAGGGAGCAGATTAAATCTAGATTCAGTTAACTTTTGTTACATATCTACTGTAACTACTTTATTTACTCTAACAGGCAACACTGCATTTTCCTGGATGGTTCGTCAACACTTGAGAGATTTTACTCTTTCTCAAAAGAGTAAAGCAATAGCCAGCATCTCCACAGAATCTCAGAATAGCACATCATCTTCTCCCCGGCCCTCTTCCCTGCCCCCTTTTCTCTCCTCCTACCCAGCCTTGGATCCTCATATCTCAGGCTCCTCATCACCCTCCTCCTAGAGTTAGAGAGGCGGTGGAATTCTCATCCTAGCAGCCCTGCTTGGGGAAGGTAGAGAGCACAGGAAGGGAAAGAAGGTAGGGGAAGAGGCTTCTGCAGAACCTTAACTCTTGTGCTACTTTCCCTCAGCTTCTGCCAGGCTTATTGCTAGTCCAAGCAGAGACCAAGGAAAAGGTCTCTTACTCTTACCCCTTCCCCATAGAACACCCTGGCCTGCCTCCTACAGCTTACCGCTAATGTCTTTTCAGAGGCTGGGTGAGACCAGCAGAAGCTCAGAGCAGTCACAGACATGGGGGACAAATGCTGCCTTTCAGAACTGCAGCAGTAACAAGAAAAACGTTTCTAGTGTCCGCTATGGAAATGTGTGAGCTGTAGTGGTTTAGGGTCAAAGAAATGTCTGTGAACATTTATTATTAGTTAAGAAGACAACTTTGTGTCCAGGGGACAGTCTCCATGTTCCAGATCATTGACTTGCGAACAGACAGTGGGACCAGAACTCCTGTAAGTTGGAAATGGGCTGCATTAATTTCTTCCAGTCATGCATAAAGAAAATGCATTATTGGACACGTATGCAACTTCTATATTTTGTCACATAGGTAGATATAAAAACGTTTTCCAGCAAGGATTTCCCAAACACTTCAAATCAAAGACTCTAAAAGTTAAACACTAATCATGGTAAAGTCTGGTTATTAAAAATAAAAGCTTTATACTTTTATAATGTTTAAAATATGTTTTAGCATACCGTAGACTATTTTGTCTGTTTGGCAGCTCTTTGAGGTACAATTTTCCTCATTTTCCAGATGAAAAAGTTAAGGCTAGACGGGTCAAGCCACTTGACTGATACCACAGGTCAGAGCATACAAAGGACTCAAGATCAGACTGTGAGTTTCCCAATCTATTCCTCTTCCTAGTACATCACCACTGCTTCCACAGGCTTTGAGCGTCTGCTTTTTGAGACCATACTTTATTTTTGGTAAGCAAAATCTTTACCTCCAAGAACATGCATTTTTTTCAGGCTCAGCATGATTTATTCTGCTTACTTGGTTTGCAGGTGTCTACTGATGTGCTCTATTATACATGTCTAAAGTGTGGACTGATAGGCATTATCAGGAGTCAGTTACAGGTTTAATGAAGTGATCATACCGACAGCCTTCTTTTGATAAATTTAACAATTTAATATATAGGAAAATAGGAATATGTCAGGAGATAAAGGCTTAACAGATTGTGTTTTAACACCTAATTAAATAAAGCAGAGCAGAGAACTGTATTCTTAGATTAAAGCTAATAGAGTTGCTATTTTGAGACTGTGAACACTTGAGAATTATCCGTGATTTGTGGTAAATATAAGAAAAGATAGTCCAAAATTTTAAGAAGACATTTCAACCTTTCTTCATAAAATGACTACTCCCCAACACAAGCAACATTAATTAGAATTTCCTTTCAATTTGCTCCTTTATTACAGTTAACACTAGTTTAAACTCTCCATTTGAAAGATGTCTAAGGAAAGCTAGTAGCTACTTTTGCCAAAGCAAATAAGTGAAATACTATTTATAACTTTCACATGAAATATGACATGATAAGAATAAAAATGGTTAAAAGTGGCTCTTTCTAAAGAGGAAAGACAATAACAATGAAATAAAAAGCTTTTAGGAGAAACCCAGAGATGGACCTGAGAGCTCTCTGTACTCTTGCCTAAATATGAGAAAGCTGTAGTCACGTAGCATCCCCAGCTGAGGGTGAGGCAGAGGTGGGCAGGAGAGTGCTGGAGCCTGGCTGGCTCATTGACTGTCCTTCTCCTCATGCCACATCCAACGTGGCTGGCAAACAAGACTGCCTTTCAATGAGGAGCAGAAGCTGCAGGTTCGTAGGTGTCCAGGTGCCTGAGTGGCCAACACGCCCAAGCAAAGAAAGTAAGCTTGTGCTTTTATGGACACTAGGTAAACGCCTTCAGTTTAAATTTTTTGCTAAATATTTTAGCTTATTTTATTGTTATCTTCCAGGTGTCTAAATCTCCAGTCTGTCTGTTGTACTGGTAATTTAACTCTGTAATGGAATGGTTTGCTGCCAACTATTTATATTAAATAATTTTAAAATATTTGTAATATTATTGACTAACAAACTATTAAGTTATTGGCAAAAAAAAAAAAAAAAAAGGAAGCTTGAGGGAATAAAACATTTTTGTTTTAGGCCACAGAATAAGACCTTCTGGAAACTGTCTCTATTAGGATAGTTTCTGCCAAGGCCTAAGAGATACTTACTTAGTTTTTAAAAATTAAAGATGATCTTTTCCCTTCTCTAGTTTTTCCTGTCTTACCGGACATGGAAGTTCCAGTTATTTATAAAAGGTTTATATTTTTGGAGCAAGCTGGCTAGGAAGAGTAGGCTAAATCTGTCACTTTCCCAGGAGCCTAAACTCCTGAAGTTCTGACATCAGTGGCCTCTTTATCGCTGGTGGATGCACCACTTAGTTGCAGGTGGAGCCACTCTTGAGCACTGAATCAGCACTTTTCTATTCAATCTTGTTCACCAAAGAATGCTAGAATGATACATCCAGGGCAGAGTTGAAAATTTGGGGGCACATATTTGAGATTTTTAAAATGCTTACATTTCTGAAATTCTAATACATCAAATAATATGAAAGAAAATGGAAAAGAATAATATGGTTCCCTCTCATGGTTCCTTATTTTGATTGGAATAATAAAACAATTCATTTGGCATGTTTCCAAGCATGACAAATCAATAGAGTATAAAATGAAGAGAAATAAGAAGTTGAAATCTATACCAGTTGAAAAATTCAGCATTTTATGTCCAAATGAGTATTTCAGATACATATCATATTTGTTAATGAAAAGTCTAAGTGGCGAATGCTGGCAAATAACATTCAGTTTTAGGATTATTAACAAAGGAAGACAAATACGCTGTTTATTTACATGTGAGAAGAGTTTATTTTCACTTTCAGCAAAATGTTGCAGTCTTAAATTCTGATAAATCTGCCATTATTTTGGTGACATTTACATATTCAGAAGATATTTACTTTGGGCTGAATGATTAGTGTAATTATTCTGCGTATTGACTGAAACAGCCTCACTTTATAAGGAAACAAAGGTGTATAATTATATTTGTTTCTCTTGTGGATTATATATTATCATATTAATACTATACATATATACAGCACTCTATTTTTTAACGCAAATAATTAATTTGAGAATTTTTCACCTGAGACCTTTCTTACTTCATAAGGCCAGAGTCAGGGAGATAAATGTATAAGGCTGAGTCTCAATGGGAAAAGAAAATAGGAATTATTAGCTCAAAAATTAGCTGATTCTGACCTTTTCTCATGCCTATTTGCTTTTCGAGTTTCTGGGAAATTTAGTAAAATGTAGATTTATATTCTTTGCAATCTATGAATACAATATTCTCAATTTTATGCTTTGTTTTACAGAGTAATCAAGGAGGCGTGTTGAGCCAAGTGTACAAATTCAACAGCTGGGAAGGTATTATGGGGAGGTCTTGTAACATTTTATTCAGGTTTCCTTGAAAAGAACTGAAAACTGATGAAACTTTTAGACCGAATATTCCTTTGAAAACATGAATAGAATTCATTTGCTGAGAGGCATGTATTGAAACGTGATATCTAGTGCATGGTTATTTTTCACTTTCTAAATTAAACTGACATAGAGAGTTTGAGAAATAAGTTTAAGAAATAGACATGGCTTATGATTGAAAGCACAATTTTCCATCTAAATGTTGGTCCGTGTTCATCTTTATCTCAGTTAGTAGCAACCTTTGTTCCGCAGCAGTTGTTCGTTGATTGTTATGGTCTGTCGACAGCTCCAGCTCGTGCCATCTTCCCAATGTACCAACTTCTCTTTCTCTGGTCAGGTTGCGCTGTTGCCTTTGTATGTCTTCCCACCTCATGGATGTTAGTTTCATTATGAGAATATTGAAAAACAGTCTTCCAGTCATAACCCCACTGGCTTCCTTTTCTCTGTCACTTCCAAACCGCAGGACCATTGCTGGGCACCATGTCTACCCACCCATGAGAGTTAGGAATAAACACAAACGAGTTCAATTCAGTTCAGCAAACAGTTATTGTGCATCTATTTTATGCCAGGAACTGCAGAAGGTGCTGGGGTACAAAGTGAAGAAGATAATTTGCTTGGTCTCAAGGGGGAGCTCCTGGTCTAATACCCAGGCTCCTATAATCCCTCAGCATTATCCTCTCCACTTTGCCTGTTCCCCTGTTGCTCATTACCTGTGCAACCGCTCCTCCCTCTCTGGCTCAATTCCTGCTTTTCTTCCCTCTGTTCCTTTATCCTGCTAGTGTCTTCCTTTTCAACCATAGCCAACACTCCATCTTCAAATGCTTAGCGATACAACTTATACCTCAACTATCTGGAAAGGCTTTCTGAACTAAGTAGGAGAAGTTGTAAATATTTAACTTTTTATTTTTCTAAATTATCTGATTATAAGCAACAGTAAAACAAAGATCCCATATTATTATCTGCAGAGTTAATTTGGGGACAACAGGGACCTCTTAGTTTTTTTGATTAATTTTAAACTTACTTGTAATTAATTGGTAGTATATGTTACAAACCATTAAAAATTACTTAACAGTAATCACTTTTGAAAATAGGAGGAAAATAAACATTTTTATGGCAGATTTGTTTGCCTTAAGAATTATTTTGAAAGAAGTATTAGAATCGAGGCTTAGAAAAACGGTAGAGTGCTTGGCTGGGCGCAGTGGCTCACACCTGTAATCCCAGCACTTTGGGAGGCCGAGGTGGATGGATCACGAGGTCAGGAGTTCGAGACCAGCCTGCCCAATATGGTGAAACCCTGTCTCTACTAAAAGTACAAAAATTAGCCGGGCGTGGTGGCGCACGCCTGTAGTCCCAGCTACTCAGGAGGCTGAGGAAGATCACTTGAACCCGGGAGGCAGAGGTTGCAGTGAGCCAAGATTGTGCCACTGCACTGCAGGCTGGGTGACAGAGTGAGACTCCATCTCAAAAAAACAAAAAACAAACAAAAAAAACCCCAAAACAAAGAGTGCTCATATTTTTGCCTAAATGAAAAAAAATTAGAGATTTTTCTTTCACCTATCCCCCAAAACACCAAGAATTCATATAGCCTTATTTCCAAGAAATTGGAATGCTGGATCTGTGAAAACAAAAATAAAGAACATGGAAAATGTTGCAAAACTAAAGTATTTCTCTAGATCATTCAAATTAATTAAGACAATAATTTTGTTTCTTAGAAACATTCACATATACCCAGGCCTGATTACTTCCCCAAATGTTCCCTCTTTCCATTCCTTTTTCTCCCTACTCACCCCTCACCCCCTCCCAAAAAACTCACTATGGCTCCACTTTCCAGAGACTAGAAAAATTGAACCCTGGCTGTTGAAAAAATGACTATTTTTAACATCTCTAAAAGTTTCCTAAACCTTCTCTTTATCTCTTTTAATTAAACTTTCTTTTCTAAACAACCCCCCCATCTAATTGAATCCCAGTGTTTTTTTTTTTGTTGTTCTTTTCTCCCCCCACTGTTGCTGCAATACTATATTTTCTATTGTTTATTTAAAGCATGCAGTATTTCAATTACATTTAGATTAAATAAGGTTTTTGTAAGCTGGTCTTGAAACTTAATCACCGTCTGTAGCAAAGTGTTATGAAGAAATATGTTCTAAGACTAACAAATTACTCTCTACAATACAGCCTGTTGTAAACTGAAAAGTGTTTCTTATAACATCGATTTTCATGTGTGGGTTTTGTACCCAGCTTTGTTAAATTATAGTTTCACCCAGAATGTTGCTTTTCAGGATCTTTTTTAATATAGAGCTTATATTATTATTTAATTGGTAGTAAGCCATTTCTTCTTCAGCACATGAAGGACACAGTTATTGACATTCTAGCTTGTAAGTCAATTTTGATAGTTCACGATAATTGGATTAAACATTACTATGTTAAATAAGTGACCCAGTACTTTGGTCATTAAAATTCCCAAATTGGATTACTGTTTGCTTCCTGATTGGACAGCAGTTGGCCTGCTAAATGTAAACTTAATTAGAGACATTACCTTGTCAATATATCAAACTTTCAGTATGCTGCGTTCCATTAACTCACTCACTATAACTCTTTGCCCTCTAGCATTTTTTTCAGGGCATCCTTTACTTCTGTGTTTCTCAGGCGATAGATAAGAGGGTTAAGCATGGGAATTACAAGACTATAAAACACAGAGACTACTTTGTTTGGCTTCCATGAATTCCCCGCTTTTGGTTGCTGCAGGTACATGAAAAACAGTGTGCCATAAAAGATGGTGACGACAGTGAGGTGGGAGGCACGGGTGGAAAATGCTCTGCACTTGCCCTCGGAAGACTGGATTTTTATAATGGAAAAGAGGATGCAAATGTAGGAGATGAAGATGGTAAGGAGGGACCCAGTGAGATTTACTGCAGAGAAGATCATGAGCTGCTTTTCTTTGTTGTGGGTGTCAGAGCAGGAGAGGGCCAGGAGAGGGGGGTCAGCACAGTAGAAGTGGTGGATGACGTTGGAGTTGCAGAAAGACAGCTGAAACGTCAGAGCTGTCTGTATCACAGAGTTTCGGAAGCCATAGGTATAGACCCCTATCACTAACTCCCCGCAGACCCGCTGCGTCATAATAGCTGTGTAAATCAGGGGGTTGCAGATGGCCACGTAGCGGTCGTAGGGCATTGTGGCCAAGAGGAATCATTCTGTAGTGGCAAAAGCACCGGAGAAGTACAGCTGAGCAAAACAGCCTGAAAAGGAGATGGTTTTTTTCTTCACCAATACATTTTGCAGCATCTTGGGCCCAATAGAAGATGAGTAACACAGATCAATGAATGCCAGGTGACTGAGGAAGTAGTACATGGGGGTGTGGAGCCGCGAGTCTGCTCTGATCAGCAGGATCATGCCAAGGTTTCCCACCAGGGTGATGAGATAAATGACAAGGAACACCACAAAGAGGGGGAGCTGCAGCTCAGGACGGTCTGTGAATCCCATGAGGACAAATTCGGTCACTGTGGTACGATTGCCTTTTGTCATGTTCTCTCGCCTGCTGCAAAAAATAAGAAATGATTAGATACTTAAAAACAAACGCTTCTTACCTCTTTGTTGCATTACCATACGAAAAAAAAAATGTGGCTTTACATTTCCAATAGTTAAAGGCTGTCATTAGCTATGGGACTTTATTCTGCTAAAACAGACTTGGCAAGACTGAACTCATTTCTTTTTGGAACCAGGAGAACGATTTTCCTAGGACAGAACCTATTTTTACGTTAACAGTGTTGGTGTTTTCAGTTCAACTCAACAGATACTTCTGGGCTTTGTGTGGGGCCAGATAGCATGCTTGGTGCTGGGCTGGAGATGGGTATGACAATGACATTGTCTTTGTTCTTATGGAGTCTAGTGGAGGGTTCGTAAAACATTCCTAAGGGGAAGTGAGCCAAGTATTTTTGGAGCTGCAGAGTGCTGTAGGAGTTCACAGGAGGGAGAGATTGAATGTGGATGGTGGAAATGGAAAAGCTTCATTCATTCATTCTCGTTCACTTATCAAACACATATTGCCCCTCTTCAATGTGCCAGATGCTATGCTAAGTGAAGGTGACACAAACATGAATAAAACGTATGTCTGCCTTCAATGAATGCACAGGCTGGTAGGAGAAACATACGTGTAAGTAACTAGTTACAATTCACTGTGGGTAATGCTCTGAAAGAGAGGAATCTCCTAACTCAACCGTGTGTGGGGGTGGAGGATCAGCAGTCTTAGGCAACACTGAATTGTCCTAAATTTTAGGCTGGATATTTAAAATTATAAATGTAATATATCCACTTGGTGAAATTATCAATAGGAGAAAGGGATATAAATGAAAAAACAGTTTCTCTCCTCTACCTCCAATATAATTAATGGTATCCAATGTTAACAGTTCCTTTAGTATTCTTCTAAGAATGCTTAGGTATAAACAAGTATCAATACACACAAAACACACACACACATACTTTTCTACATAAATGAAATCATACAGTTTTGTACCTTTTCTCTTCTTACACTTAAGAAATATTTCCATGATAAGAACACATGGATACATAGAGGGGAACAACACACATTGGGGCTTATTGGAGGGTGGAGGGTGGGAGGAGGGAGAAGATCAGGAAAAGTAACTAATGAATACTAGGCTTAATACCTGGGTGATGAAATAATCTGTACAACAACCCCCTATGACACACATTTACCTATGTAACAAACCTGCACATCCTGCACAGTTACCCCTGAACTTAAAATAAAAGTTAAAGACGTATTTCCAAAGTAGTTCATAGAAATCCATGACATTTTCATAACTGTATCATAATTTATTAATAAGTTCTCTCTTAATGGATATTTAAATGTTTACAATTTTGTTTTTTTTTTCTATCTCAAATAAAGCTTGCGCTCATATGTCTAAGCATGTTTGTGGATTAAAGATAAACCACTAGGTCAGGCATGGTGGCTCAAGCCTGTAATCCCAGTACTTTGAGAGGCTGAGGTGGGCGGATCATGAGGTCAGGAGATCGAGACCATCCTGGCCAACATGGTGAAACCCCATCTCTACTAAAAAAAAAAAAATTAGCTGGGTGCGGTGACACGTGCCTGTAATCCCACTGTAATCCCAGCTACTCGGGAGGCTCAAGCCTGAGAATCTCTTGAACCCAGGAGACAGAGGTTGCAGTGAGCTGAGAAGGTGCCACTGCACTCCAGCCTGGTGACACAGCGAGACTCCATCTCAAAAGAAAAAAAAAGAAAAAGATAAACCACTAGAAGTGAAGTTTGGGTCAAAATGTATATATTCACTTTACTTTTTTGATCGTGATTGACAAATTGACCTCCAAGTAAATTTCACCGAGTCAAACTCGCTTCTAACGAGATTGTGCAAGAACACTGATTTTCCCATACTTTTATCCAAAGTTTTATTAAGTTTTAAGCCTTTGCCACTGTGATAGTGGACATTGGTAGCTCCTGCAGTTTTGTGTGTTTTTATGAGTAGGGTTTAGCATTTTTCAAACAATTATTTGTATGTATATTTTTTCCCTATGAACTGTCAGTTCCTTTGTGAATTTTTCTATTAGGTTGATTGATTTTCTAGAACATTTTATTTCTAGGAGGTCTTCGTTTATTAAGGAAACCAGCTCTTTGTCTGATGCATGTATTGCAAATTACTTTTCAGTTTGTCAGTTGTCCCTTAACATTGGTGTGATAATTACTTTGTGTGCTATGCAGTGAGGTTTGCATTGTTTGATTTCAAATTTATCAATCCTTTTCCTTTTGAATTCTGATCTTTGCAACATGGTTAAATGAAACTTCTTCGATTTAAAATTATTTAAAAAATTATCTCCTGTTTTAGTCCAGAGACTTACTTCATTTCAATTTTATATTACAAACTTTGATTTTCCTGGAAATTTAATTTCGATATAAGGAATGAGGCAATCAACTACAGTTATGCATCACATAAAGACAGGAATACATTCTGAGAAATGCATTGTTCAGTGATTCTGTCATCGTGTAAACATCATAGAGTGTACTTGCACAAACCGAAATGGTATAGCCTACTATGCATCTAGGCTATATGGCATAGCTTATTGCTCCTGGGCTACAAACCTGTACAGCATATTACTGTACTGAATATTGTAGGCAATTGTAACACAATGGTATTTGTGTATCTAATCATATCTAAACAAAGAGAAGGTACACTAAAATACAGTATTATAATATTATGGGACCACCATTGTAAGCTGTCTGTTGTTGATTGAAATGTCATTATGCACTGCATGACTGTATTTTTACTTATTTCTTCAAATGGCTAGCCAGATGATCTAATGCAACTTATTTGTGAAATTGTTTTCCTGCTGGTTTTGTTTATTTAAAACTCCAGACTTATCCTATGCTAATACTAAAACATCCTGAAGTACTTGGGTCAATTTATGATTTTTTTGTAGTCTTTTCTAGAACCAGGACCACACATTTAAATTAAATAGTTATATAATTCATTTTACTATCTAGTAGCAATTTTTCTGGCCATTCTCACATGTACATTTTCCAGATGCATTCTAACATTATTTTATCAAGTTCCAAAAAAATCCTGTTTGTACTTGGAACGCTATTGCATTAAATTGATTTGTCAATTTAAGGGAAAATTGACATTTTTACAACTGAATCTTCTTTTCTGTAACTATGGTATTTATTTTATTGATTAAATAATTTCCTAGAGTTTTAGAGTTTTCTCTAAACTTTACAGATATACATCCTATGTATTTCTTTAAATTCTAGTCACAGATATTTTATCTTTTTGTTACTATTGTAAATTAAATCTTAAAAAGAGTTTTTTGTGGTCTATTCAAGTATTATTTGTGTATAGCAAAACTACGATTTTTATAAATTAATTTTATAACTCTCTTCCTTACAATAGTTTCCTATCATTTAAAAATAGTTTTCTGGTTGATTCTCTTGGGTTTCTTAACTGCATAATCATACAATATGAAAGGATGTGAGTTTCATTTCTCATTTCTCTAACGTATTCTTGTTCCTTTTTCTTCTCTACTTGTATTGGTTAGTACTTCCAGAGCAATGTTAATATACAGTAACAGTGGTGGTAATTTTTACCTTTTATCCTCTTGAAGGATGCTTCATAAGTACAAGGAAATTCTCAGGCATTCTAGACAGAGGGAATAGCCTGTGCAAAGTTACTGAGGTTTGAGGAAGTCCAGGCGTTAAATAACTACAAATATTTGGTGTGGTTAGAAAGCAGGCTTCCTAGGAGCAAACCTGCCTTTGGCATTGGCAGGGCCCAGGGCAAGAATAATAAATGAAGGCTCACATACAATATGCCTAAATATTTAAAAGTTAAAAATCAAGATAACAAATTACTAAAACACATTTTATCCTACCTCCTTAACAACTATCCTTTATAATATCTGGAAGGAAGAATTCTTGGGATCCTTGGAATTCCAGACTGGAAGGCAGTGTTGGTGAGGAGGACTGGTTGCTAGCCCACATGACTGCACTTGCACAGACATCCAAGCAAGAATGTATAAGCTCTGTTTACACTCCTGCAAGTGGCCATCCCTTGGCCACCCATAAGGCCTAGGTGTGAGAACATGAGCAGCATGGTTTACCCTTGCAAGGATGATTTGGTAAAGAGACACTTATGGACTCTGGGAATAAGTTGGGGGCCTTTTGAGCAAGGAACCTTACAGTCCTGTTACTAGGAAGATGGTCTAGAAGGGGTGGATACCAGGGACTGGAAGGACACATCCATTTGGCATCATAGATGCCTTGCCCCATGGAATGTGGTGCAGTAGTAAGAAGCCCAGAATGGATCTGAAGAATGGGGCCAAGGCAGAGTCCCTTTTGTTTGGATCAAAAGGTGGTACTGCTTGTGAGTTAGTGATAAGAAACGTGGCTGGAAATGCATATCTGGGCTAGATAACAGAGGGCCTAGTATCCTTCTATAAGGAGTTCAGTCTGTATCCTGCAGAGAGTCGGCAGCCTTCAAAGTGAACTGAGCTGGCCATTAGAAGATGGAAAGAACCTCAAAATGTGAAGAGTGGATTAAAGGAGAGTCTTGGGTACAGAGAACAATCGAGCAAGGGGTTCAGCCAGAACAGCCCAGAGCATGCACTGGCGACTGTGGGCTTCCTTTTGGGTGAAAGAAAATGCCTATGAAAGAGATTCATGGTGGATAAACATGTGAAAAGCTGTAGATGTCAGGGGGATCCAGTAACTAGTTCAGTAGTGAGCGTGGACCCATTGAACACTTGAGCAGTAGAATTGACTTGACCAGCATTCAGCTTTCATGGAGGTGGTCTGGCAGTGTATGTGGATGGTGTGAAGGAAGAGAGCCATCAGCAAGGACACGGGCTGAGACATTTTCCATGTCAGACAGGATCAGGGTTTGAACTAGGGAATCATGGCAGAAATGAAGAAAGAAGATAGGCGCAAGAAGTGTCTCAAAGACAGAGTTTGTGTCACTTGACAATTGACTGAGACTCTGAGTTTTCAAGTCTCAGAATAATGGTAATGTAAGACTTAAAAGTTTGGTTTAATTTTACCTTACCTCTTTCCTAGGGAGATCTGACACAATTTAAACATACACACACACACACACACAAATACACACACACACTTCTACCACAATTAATATCATGGAATTCAAAAGTAGAAGACATAATTGAGAGAAAAGAGGAAGGAAATTTCCCCACTATATTTATTTAACAACATTGCTGTGTTGTTACTTCGAATACATTCAACATAGTAAGTCTAGGCTAGGAGTGGAGTAGGAGAAAATAGTGTTGAATTCAGCTGGAAGGATGGACAAAGGTTCATTGCACAGTCAGAGCCAGGATCCTGGTTCAGGAGCCATGGATATACAGATGATGGAATGAAGGATGGGAACCAATGAGATCATTCAGGGAGAGAGAATAGTGACAGCAAGGGCTCAGGGACAGACCTTAGGGTAAAATATATCTTTAACGGGTGGGGAAAGGAGTCAGCAGGGAAGAAAGGTGCCCTAAGATGTCTAAAAAGTAGTAAGGAACCTTGGAAATATGAGCATTTCTGACACTCCTAGCTTATGGTAGATGTAACCTGTTTTGTTGTGGTCTTATCTCTCTCAATCATAGCCTAACACAAAACCAAACCTCTTCAGGCACTGCACTTAGACAGTCTTACCCATTAAAATGTTTGCTTGTAATTTTTTTTTTTAATTCTGTGCCATCTAAATTCTTTTGGGTTCATTTCTAGAAGTGATCAAGTCTTCCACGTCCATTCGAGCAGTTACCACTTCAAACTGAGACATGGAAAGGTTTAGTAATTCTGGAAGAGTCTAAAAACCAGTGTGGAGATTCTAGCTTTAACAGCTCTTGCCTGGCAGAAGATATTTTTTTTTAACTCTGTTAGCTGTTACTGATGTGATTTCACATTTGCCTCTAAAGTTTCTAAGACATGGTTAACACATTCTAATTTGGAGGTTTTTAAAAATTTCTATTCCATTAGCTAAATATTTGTGTATCATTTTATCCTATTAAAATGTTATTCTGCATTCCAAGGAACTTCTAATTGAAATAACTTTTAAGTTTAAGGATTACTAATAATATCAAGGCTATTAGTTTTTAGAATATAACTAGACCTGATGATAAATTCCAGGAAAAACAAAATAGTAAATCTCTAATTATAAATATTTGTCTTATAATTTTCTACTTAAGCAAAAATTTGTGGTCTGCTTTTACAAAAATGCTGAGATTTAATGACTCTCAAACTTAATGAATCCAAATAATGAGTAGTTATCTGAATACTTTCAATATGCCAAGATTCATTCTGCTTTACATATATTATTTAGTACATAACTGTTATTTTCATTATTTTCTTAAGGAGGAAACTAAGACATAGAAATGCTCAGTAGTTTGTCAGATTCCCAAAATAGATGAGGCAGGATCTGAAACCAGGTAGGCTGATTCCAGAGCCCTCTGCCTAAACTATCTCTCCACTTATGATTTGTCAGTGTTTATTTTTTCATAATTTTGTTTTCCCTATTTTTTTCTTGCAAGATTAGACTCCTGTGAGGAAATTGTAGGCATATTGGAATGAGTTCAGTAACACTTCCTCTTAATTTGTTCCAGCACATTTACAATTTATTGTGTTTAACCAGTTTGTTCAACATTTGACAACTCATTGCTGTTTTCTTCCTTACCTTTACTGTTTATGGGGAAACAATTCAAACAACTTGGTTGAAGAACCTAAGAAATATTCTTAAATCTTAGAAAGTGAAAGAACATAAACCACTTTGAAAATCTGATGAAAGCTAAGTACCCATCCCTAGGAAGACTTGACTTACATAAAATTTTGCCTGTGATTTCAGAGGCTTCCTGTGTTTCTCAGGTCCCTGCTGCAGTTTCCTCATAGAATAATCCACTGGTTAAAAAAAAATCCCAGCTTTCCAAGTAAGAGCCAACCAATATTTCCCCATTTCACCTCTGGTGGAAACAAAGCACACCTGTCCCAAAGCCCTGTCCTCCTCACAGTCCTGGAACTGAAACCCTTCTCTTGGCTGCCTTGTGGCTTTAGACATGACAGCCTTAGAAGTAAATGCAACTTACCAAGCGCCTGTCGGACAGTTAGTCGGGATTCCCAGTGTTCTGGAAGCATCCATCTAGTGCATTTCCAGTCAGACAAACAGACTTCTTCATATCTGACTGGAGGGCTTGGTTTTTGTGCTCCACAGAAACTGTACTTATAAAGTTACAGTGTAATAAGTCTGTTATCTATTGTGATTCCAGAACTTCGTGGGTACCTAGGGAACAGTTTATACAGGTTTCTCTGAGATACTTTACATTTGATTTAAATCACCCTTGGGAATTAAAATCCTTAAATCATCCCCGTGACTAAAGATGACTCAGGTCATGATGCTTTGGTGCCTGTTCTCAGGATGCCTCCCATGTTCAGAACCTTGGGTGTGATACTAGGAGACAGCCATCCTCCCTTTTCCATGACATCTACAGTGGGTGGCCTTGAAGTTGTGGCTGTAAATGTTTTATGGGAGGCTAGGTAAGATTATGCAAAGATTGTATGACTAGGATGCACATATAGGACATTTTTGCTTGCAAAGGAAAGATGATCTTGGTTAGCATATTTATCCCAAAAGATATTGTAAGAGAAAAGTAGTGTTCATTTCTCCTACTGTTGTGTATTTCCCATCAAATCAAATTAAGGAGTCAGAGACTGAATGTTCTAATGGTCCTGTAGACCTCCTCCCCTCTCTCCCTTCTCCATTTCTCTCTGGATTGAAACTGGGGCAATCCATGCCTCCTGGTGTGGCTAGGGTCAGTTTCTCAATGCGGCTGGCCTTTTTCTCATGGCCACTGGGGAAAAAAAGATTAGAACCTGGTTGTACAGCCCTTAAAGTACAACGACACTGTCCGCAACCTTAGCATTTAAGTCAAGGCAGAGCTGAAGTCAAGAGCATTCTCAAATTAGAAAGTGCATTTTCTCTCCCTCAGCATTCCTGAAGTTCATTAATTCACACCAAAGAGGAGGAAACTGGAAAAAAACTACAATATTGGGTCAGACCTGGAGGTTTGGTTTTAGTGGTCTTTCTTAGTCAACTTTGTCAGTTTAAGTAACTTGTAGAAGGTAAATCTGTGACTTTTCATTCTGGTGAGGAGGGAGAATATCTAGGCTATATCTGGTGGAGAGTGCAATGTAAGTTTGATTTGCGAATAGAAGAACTCCATGATTTTGCAAATGCTGTAGTTGCTCATCACCAGGTTACCTTAACAATAAGCCATAGGACATTTGTTTCCAGTCCCTAGGACTGTGCCTATCTTGGGTAGTGACCAAAGGGGCCGGAGTTGGGGACAGAGTCAGAGAGCCAGCTGAACTACTGCCATTTATGTCACATTTCATCACTATCATTTCACTGTCTAGTCCCAGTACAAATGGTAATGTACTTTTTAGCAAGAATTGGTTTTTCTGTGGAATTCTCATTGCATGAGGAGCCAATTCTAGGAACTGAATATCTGGGGTGAAATCCAGCCAGGCCTTCTAAAGACTGGGTTTGCAGAAAGCAGATGACATTGCGGATTTTGTCTGGGTGAATGCCCAGAAGGGAGGAGATGAAGGGAGCAACTGACACTCTGTGTCTCACAGAGCTAAGGGAAGACTGACTTCGGCACTTCTGAACCAGCATTTACACTATGCCACCCTATTGCTCACAAATCTGAGAAAGAGAAATTCTAAGTCCAGGGGTGTCAGTCATCAGCGAGATTCTAAAGAGGAGGAAGGTGTTTTTAAGGATCAGCTTGGTCATGAGATTTAATTCTAGTTTTGGGGAAGGACTCATGTTAAAGGAAGGTACACATATGATTCATGCATTCAACTGGGGATACACTTTGAGACAGAGCATTCTCTAGATTGTAAGAATCTTGGTAACATTCTTTCTTGAAGGCAATGACCAGTAAGTGCTAGGGACATAACCCAAAACAACTGATACTTTGTTCTACCACAGCCAGGAACTCATGTGGGGTTGATGATTCTTTCATAGCACCGTGGGTGGGTGGGGGCTCTGAATTATCCTGTGTGCACTGGAGTAGCTGATGTGCTGCCGCATTTGGTTTGAGGCTTAGATTTCCCTTGATGAAATGTTTCCCTATTAATACAGTATAGAGTCGGTTAAGCTCCGAGGAATGTCCACCTATAATTCTGTCTTACTCTTACCAAAATTTAAGCAGGGCTAGAAGTGCTGGTACTATCCTGGAGTGGGAAATTTCAAGCTTCAGGGTAAAGGAAGGCTTTTTCACTCCTGCATTTACTTTCTTTGTATTTAATTTAAATCAGTTGGAAGAAGTGCTGATACTATCCTGGAGTGGGAAATTTCAAGCTTCAGGGTAAAGGAAGGCTTTTTCACTCCTGCATTTACTTTCTTTGTATTTAATTTAAATCAGTTGGAAGAAGTGCTGATGCTATCCTGGAGTGGGAAATTTCAAGCTTCAGGGTAAAGGAAGGCTTTTTCACTCCTGCATTTACTTTCTTTGTATTTAATTTAAATCAGTTGGAAGAAATGCTGATACTATCCTGGAGTGGGAAATTTCAAGCTTCAGGGTAAAGGAAGGCTTTTTCACTCCTGCATTTACTTTCTTTGTATTTAATTTAAATCAGTTGGAAGAAGTGCTGATACTATCCTGGAGTGGGAAATTTCAAGCTTCAGGGTAAAGGAAGGCTTTTTCACTCCTGCATTTACTTTCTTTGTATTTGTGAGCCATGTGTGTGGCTTGGTTGTTTGGCCCAGGAAAGTCTCTGCTCTTTACGACCTGAGAAAAGACACTCTGGGCTGTGATTACATTATGACTATCACAATTCGAATGCCCAATTGTTTGCATCCATCAGATTTATTTGAATGACACAAACATATCGACCTACAGGATTTATTCAATAACATGTGCTATAACAGAAAAATATTTTTCCAGAAAATGATTCACATAATACTGTTAAATTTTTTTAATAGTAAAATTAACTTGTGTTGTTTTCCTTCAGAGAGGAAAGTCCATGGGTGAGACTAACTCAGAATTTTTACTGCATAAGCTCAAAATAAATAGGTGTTGTGTGATGTGAGAAATGAATGTCTTCTGTATTCCCCACCCACATGCCCCATAGAGTATGTAAGAGAAAAAAGAAATGGCATGAAGAAAATTTTTATTTGAGAAAAAAACAAACAACCACTCAGCAAAGTTTTAAAATATGGACTGTTTCTTTTGTTTTATACAGAACATTTTGGTTTTTTACATTTGATATTTTTGAAATTCAAACGTATTATCTCAGTTTCCAAGACCAGATGACACCAAACAGACTGGGCTTCAGTTTCAGCTTAATTGACAGCAGAGGCTTTAATGTGCTTCCCTTTGATGCACATTCAATAGTCTTTTTATTGGGACCGTCTCTGGGAAATTCCTTCCCTCAGAATGCCTTGAAGTGTATGAAGGGGGTTCAGCATGATTATGGCTGTGGTTACCTGGCACAATTTAGGACAAGACTTGAGCCAGTTTGTTTTGTAATCTCAGAGAATAAGGTTGGATAGACTCAGGATTGAGAGGTGGAAGACGTGGCTGCAAAAAGCTTCAGAGGGGAGAATCCTTGGGACTAAAGCCAGGTTGGGTACCTGAAGGATGAAGATGGTCCTCATAGCACTGGTGATCTTTAAGGCAACACCAGTTAAAAAAAAAATCTGGCAATCTTTTGAGCAAAACCCTAACAGGTAAGAGTTAGAGTCTGAGGGGCTGTGTAAGACTAGAGACAGACGATAGTCCAGTCAGCACGCAGAAGCAGAGAGACTGCCATTGTGTGTGTCCTTGAACTCAAGTGAGGCTGGGCCAGCAGCTCCCTTTGAACTTCCACAGTCACTGTGACTATGTAGCTCACAGAGTGCCTGATGGACCTGGATTGCCCATAGGATTCTCTGGCTAGGAAATGGTGATCCTTGGTGAGTGGGGCATGTAAGAAATAAATCTGGATAAAGGTGCCCATCATGACATTGGTTGCTCTCTGTAAAATGAGACTGTGCAGTATACTGTGGGAATGGCAGCAGCCCATACACACTGAAATGTGCATGGGACAAGAGAAATTCCAACCAAATTGGGGTGTCAGGATTGGCTCCTATTTCCATACGAGGATGAGGACATTCAATATTAAGAAAGATATGGAGAGAGACCTTTGATGCTCTTGATTTTTGGGGAACACATGGAGGCACTTTGGTCTGGTATACTGAATCTCTGCAGTCATTTTGTTCCTTGAATTTATTTTCTTCTGGGAAAAAAATGAAATATTCACAGGCATTGAGGAAGACAATGAATAATCAGTAGGATTGAGATTAGATGTAAATAGCTTTCTCTCAGCACATTGTCGTGTTAGTTCTGCAAACATAACTCCAAAATTGTATTACTTCATTCATGTCTACAAAGCACATTGAACATGGTTTTTAAAAAATTGACATTTGCTCCTGTGACTCTCACCCCAAGCCATTTAAAAATCTTTTTCTCTTATCCCTTCCTTGATTTATACCACTGTAGGCCTGCATTCTGATAATATTCCATCTTACATCTGAGCCTGATTTTAGCCATTAATTTCTTTTTATATATGTGTATTTTGCTTAATTTCATTTTTTATATATCAATTTATTTCTTTTCAACCTTTAGATTTAGGGGGGACATGTGCAGTTTTGTTACCTGGGAATGAAAATATCCAAGTAAAAGGGTAATCTAGAAAAATATTCAATGGAAGGAATTCTGATAATACATCATGGCTTGATATTTTTATTTAAGGATATGTTAATATGCCACTGGCATGGAGCACCACGGACTTCATATGATTTACATCAGGAAGATAAGACAAATGTATGATAAGATTATAAGATGCTGTTATTTGACTGGTATTCTAGGTGTGTTGTCCTCCCACACAGACAGATGTCCAAAGAGCTGACAGAACATTCATTGCTACACTACACCCTCATATCCTTTTCTTTCCTGCTCTTTTAGATATGACATTAAGTGAAAATGTCCTTTATTGACCAATTGAATACCTAGAACTATAGCATTAATTAACTAATTCATGCTTCAAAGCTATTGTTACCTACTAGGGTGTCTATAATTATTTCTAGCCATTCTATTTTCAGAATTATTTAAACTTATTCACAAGTGCATGCAGTTGAATAAGAAGACCTATTTCCTTTAGTCTATGTACTTACTTTATACCTAATTTGACATTTAAAATTCTTTCTTTTCACATTTTATATTGTTTTGCTTTTTAAATTGCATATTATTAATCTTTGAATGCTCTTCCCCCAAGTATTTAATTTGCAAGTGTACACACTTAAAACACAATTTGTATGTAACTTGGAAAAAAAGGAAATACGCATCTCCTTAATTATTATTGAACTTAACAAAAGCAATCTGATAAAACAAGACATGAAGATGAAGATAATTTTCTTTAGCATTTTACTATAAAACAATATAGTAAAAGATTTTGATATCTTTTTGGCCAGGAGTTATTTCTACAAAGGCAATTCTTAATGCAAGGTTAAAAATGCCTTCTTTAGTCTCGTTCTTACTCTTATTAGTTTTACTATTTATGTCAGATTCTGTTTGCTTGAAACCTGGATCCCCACCATTCATAGAATCTTTCAGAACTCTCACTTGGTGAACATGCACGCATTTGCACAGATTGACGTAAGAGATTATTTTCAAGCCTGTTATTGGTTTCTGAATGAAACCTGACCAGATGGTCGCTGTCAGGGGTGGGGCAAACTATAGATTCAGACAGTACTCACCAGTCATCCACAAAGTAGTTAGTAGAGATTTTAGAAATTTTATTTAAAAATGCCAGTTTTTTTTCAATTTCAGAGAGTCAGGTAGTTTCAGGCCCCAAAGGGGGAAATGGTGTATTTCTTAGTATTTGTAATTGCTATTTGAATATACATATACACACACACACACACACACACACACACACACACATATATATGAATGAGAATTAATGACATCCCCTGTTGCTGTAATGCCCCATTATCTGGGGATGTGCTATGATTTACAGATGTATCAGCTTGAGATGCTAGGGAAGCAGGGGTTGGCAGAGATGTCGTCTCACCTATGAGTCCTCTGGGGCTTTGTCTTCAATTCTGCACCTCATCTTCAGTTCCAGACACAGGAGATGTGAATCCCTGGACAATCTTTAGACTCCATGGGGTCTCTAAAATTTACTATGAGCAGAAGTTGCCCTGTTCTCTGAAGAGTCATTGAACTGTGAGCCAGCTAATCCAAACCCAAAGTCTAATTTCAGGTAAACAACTTTCAGATCAAAGGTATGTAATTATACTAATGAGCTGTAAAATATATTTGCTTATGATTGCAATAAATCAGCCCTGGCTTCAGATCAGAGCCAGCGTGATAGTAGGACTGAATAATAATGATAATAAAAATCAGATTATTTACCCCATTTTCCTGAAGAAATCAACATTCTTTGATTTGCCATATTGGCTGGGATGAGTAGATCCAGGGGCCTCCACTTGAACCTTCCAATGTAATAGCTCTATTCCCTAGATCCAGGAGCCAATATTGGGGTAATTTTGGCAGTTGATGACCAAATCTATTCCAATTCTAAATCTGGTTGATATTGGGCTCACAATAAGGTGAAATTAGGTCAAAATTCCACTTACATCCTGATTCTTATAAGCTTCCTCTATGATTGGCAGACTGGACAACAGTGGACTTCTGGACCTCCAAAAATTAGTGCAGCTCAAAGTCATGTGTAATAACTCCTGAAAGTCTGGGTATTTCCCTTTCTCATTAATAGTTACCTTTAAATAGCCTCAAAATCATTTGGAATAGTTGAAGAATGAGAGTATATATGTGTATCCGAATAAGTATGTGATGTTACTGCAAGGTTTTTTCTCAATTTACAAAATATTTCTTTAAGATACTCTAGATCTCTGAATTGATTCAGGTCTGAGAATTGTGTGAGGAGCTTTCACTACATTTCATAGTATTTCAAATCAGTTTCCTTTCTTGCTCTCTGTCCCTAGAATGTATTGAATCGTACATATCAAGTAGCACCTTACTGGGTTGTCCAGCAATGATTTTAAGGACATTATATTTAATTAGCCACCTCTAAAGTTCCCTATAGGTCAGACATTTTTGGCTACTGTTATGATTGCCCTATTGACCTTGGTGTTATACTTTTAGCACACATATGACCTCTGTCACTTTAGGGTTTTGATATCATTATTGAAATTGATCCCATTTAGATTTGCTATTCATCTCTTACATCTCAGAGCTACATAAAATAGTGATTTCAGTACTTCTTAATAATAGTTATGCTTCTTTACCAGTGAGTTCAATGTCATGGAGTAGAAGATGCTCCTGAGATCTTCTTGGAAGATGCATACTTGGGCTACATACATGGAATGCACATGTTAAAACCAGCTCAACATACCATATCTTCCCAAACTTTCAATTGTCTCTTTTAATAACACCAAGGAATTTGTTCTGGCCTTCACTTTACTCAGGCAACTGTTCAGTGTAGGTTTTAGTCAACCAACTAAATAAGCAATTAGAACCATGTACATTATGTTCTAGCTAGCTGCTGTGGATGGAATGTATGCATCCCCCCAAAATTTGTATGTCAAAAAATCTAATTGCCAATATGATGGTATTAACATGTGGGTTCCTTGGGAGGTGATTATATCATGAAGGTGGAGCCTTGATGAATATGTTAGTGCTCTTATGAAAAAGGCCCCAGAGAGCTTCTGTCAACTTTTATTTAGATTCAGGGGGGACATGTGCAGGTTTGCTACATGGCTATATTGTTTGATTTTGAGGTTTGGGGTACACGTGATCCCATCACCCAAGTAGTGAGTATAGTAAGGAATAGGTAGTTTTTCAGCTATTTCTTCACTCTCTCTCATCCTCCTTAGTAGTCCTCAGTGTCTATTGCTCCCATCTTGATGTCCATGTGTACCCAATGCTTAGCTACCACTTATAAGTGAGAACATGTGATATTTGGTTTTCTGTTTATGTGTTAATTTGCTTAGGATAATGGCCTCCAGCTGCACCCATGTTGCTGCAAAGGATGTGATTTTATTTTATTTATTTATTTTTTATTCTTAAAGTAATATTAATCTCTTTATTTGGGGTGTTTGTGTCTTTTTTATTATTATACTTTAAGTTCTAGGGTACATGTGCACAATGTGCAGGTTTGTTACATAGGTATACATGTGCCATGTTGGTTTGCTATACCCATCAACTTGGCATTTACATTAGGTATTTCTCCTAATGCTATCCCTCCCCCAGCCCCCTACCCTACAACAGGCCCCAGTGTGTGATGTTCCCTGCCCTGTGTTCAAGTGTTCTCATTGTTCAATTCCCACCTATGAGTGATAACATGCAGTGTTTGGTTTTCTGTCCTTGTGATAGTTTGCTCAGAATGATGGTTTCCAGCTTCATCCATGTCCCTACAAAGGACATGAACTCATCCTTTTTTATGGCTGCATAGTATTCCATGGTGTATATGTGCTGCATTTTCTTAATCCAGTCTATCACTGATGGACATTTGGATTGGTTCCAAGTCTTTGCTATTGTGAATAGTGCTGCAATAAACATATGTATCTTTATAGTAGCATGATTTATAATCCTTTCGATATATACCCAGTAATGGGATCGCTGGGTCAAATGGTATTTCTAGTTCTAGATCCTTGAGGAATTGCCACACTGTCTTCCACAATGGTTGAACTAATTTACACTCCCACCAACAGTGTAAAAGCGCTATTTCTCCACATCCTCTCCAGCACCTGTTATTTCCTGACTTTTTAACGATCACTATTCTAATTGGTGTGAGATGGTATCTCATTGTGGTTTTGATTTGCATTTCTCTGATGGCCAGTGATGATGAGCATTTTTTCATGTGTCTGTTGGCTGCATTAATGTCTTCTTTTGAGAAGTGTCTGTTCATATCCTTTGCCCACTTTTTGATGGGGTTGTTTTTTTCTTGTAAATTTATTTAAGTTCTTTGTAGAGTCTGGATATTAGTCAGATGAGTAGATTGCAAAAATTTTCTCCCATTCTGTAGGTTGCTTGTTCACTCTGATGGTAGTTTCTTTTTCTGTGTAGAAACTCTTTAGTTTAATTAGATCTCATTTGTCTATTTTGGCTTTTGTTGCCGTTACTTTTGGTGTTTTAGTCATGAAGTCCTTGCCCATGCCTATGTCCTGAATGGTATTGGCTAGGTTTTCTTCTAGGGTTTTTATGGTTTTAGGTCTAACATTTAAGTCTTTAATCCATCTCAAATTAATGTGATTTTATTTTTTTAATGGCTGCATAACAGTCCATGGTGTATATGTACTATATTTTCTTTATCCAGTTGGTTCTGTGTCTTTGCTGAGTTGGTTCTATGTCTTTGCTGTTGTGAATAGTGCAGTGATGAACATATGAGTACATGTGTAGTTTTGGTAGAATGGTTTATTTTCCTTTGGGTATATATATATCCAGTAATGGGATTGCTGGGTAAAATGATAGTTCTAAGTTCTTTGAGAAATTTCCAAACTGCTTTCCACGGAGGCTGAACTAATTTACATTCCTATCAACAGTGTATAAGTATCACCTTTTCTCTATAGCCTAACCAGCATTTGATATTTTTAAAACTTTTTAATAGTAGCCATTCTCACTGATGTGAGATGGTGTCTCATACTATAAGGCTACAGTAACCAAAACCCATGGTACTGGTACAAAAATAGACACATTGACCAATGGAACAAAATAGAGAACTCAGAAATAAAGAACAATGGGGAAAGGACAGACTATTTAATCAATGGTGCTGGAAAACTGGGTAACAATATGCAGAAGAATCAACCTTAATCCCTACCCTCTTACCACATACAAAAATTAACTTAAGGTGGAGTAAAGACTTAAGTGTAAGACCTCAAACTATAACAATCCTACAAGAAAACCTACAAAATATTCTTCTGGCTTTTGGCCTAGGTGAAGAATTTATGACTAAGACCTCAAAAGCAAATGCAGCACACCCCAAAATTGACAACTGGGACCTAATTAAACAAAAGAGCTTCTGCACAGCCAAATAAACTATCAACAAGGTAAATAAACAACCTACAGAATGGGAGAAATATTTGTGAGCTATGTATCTGATAAACGACTAATATCCAGGGTCTATAAGGAATTTTAAAAAATCATGAAGCAAAAACCAAATAACTCCATTAGAAAGTTGGAAAAGGACATGAACAGACCGTTCTCAAAAGAAGACATAAATTGTCAGAAAACATGAAAAAATGCTCAACATCACTATTCATTAGAGAAACGCAAATCAAAACCACAATGAGATATTATCTCAAACTAGTCAAAATGGCTATTATAAATATATTATATATATTTATATATATTTTTTAGCAAATGTTAGCAAGGTCACAGAGAGAAAGGAATGCTTATACACTATTGGTGGGAATGTAAATTAATTAATTCAGCTCCAGTGGAAACCAGTTTGGAGACTTCTCAAAGAACTAAAGATAGCAATTTACCCAGCAATCCCGTTAGTGGGTACACACTCAAGGGAAAATAAATCATTCTGCCAAAAAGATACATGCGGTCTAATGTTTGTTGCAGCACTATTCACAATAGCAAAGACATGGAATCAATCCCTATGTGCCCATCAACAGTGGATTGGATAAAGAAAATGTGGTATGTATACACCATGGAATACTATGCAGCCATAAAAGAATGAAATCATGTTCTTTGCAGCAACAAGGATGGAGATGGAGGCCATTATCCTAGGTGAATTAATGAAGAAACAGAAAACCAAATAACACATATTCATGTATAATAGGAGCTAAATATTGGGTACACATGCACATAGACAGAATTAACAGGCACTGGGGACTCTAAATGGAAGGAGGGAGGGGGACAAGGGTTGAAATCTACCTATTGTTTACCATCTTCACTATTTGAGTGATAGGTTCAATAGAAGCTCAAACTTCAGCATCACTCAATATATCCATTTACGAATTTGTACACGTAACCCCTGAATGTAAAAAAGTTGTACATAAATTGTACATAAATGTAAAACAAAATTGTATAACTCCATTGAAAAAAAACTGCTCTGACAATGTTTATCAGATAAAAAAAGCAATCATTTGTGACCATAAAAGGGTTAACCCAGCAAGAAGATACAATTTATCTTTGTATACATCTAATAACATGGCTCTGAAATATATAAAGCAAAAACTAACAAAACTGTAAGGAGACATAGATAAATCTATCATCTTAAATCTTCCATTTTAGTGGAGGATATTTAAAGATACCTCTACAATCTAAATGTACATAATCAGTACAATAGAAAAATACATAATGTTATGCAATGGACTACTATATAACAGTGAAAGTGAATAAACTATATATGCACAAAGTGGATGAATCTCACAAACAATGTTAAATAAGTCAAAAGAAAAAAAATGTATGATTCTAGCTACATAAAGTTTAAAAGCAGGCAAAGCTAGGGCATTCAGCAATAAACGTTTACATAGTAAAACTATAGAAAATAAAGCAACGTTGCAATTTCTATTTTTCTTTGTTGCTCCATAATGTAATTTTGTCAGGACCTGTTTGTTTGGTTCTCAAAACCTATTTACCCCTTTCTCTACTGTTCCTCCAAATGCCAAAGCACCATTGGAGAACCAAAAATTATAAAAGAATCCCTGAAAAATGAAAGCAGGAGAAAATTTCCTGAGAAGAAACTTTAGCCAAAATGTATCTGTAAGAGGATTTCTGCAAGGTGGTAGCCTTGGGAAACAGGACGGACTGCCTAAAATGTGGTTGGTGCAGTGGTTTGTGCTCTAATAGAAGCAGTGACGGGATACAGACATTCTTTCTGTTCCTGCTAGTGCAAAGCAGTGAGCAACAGAGGCATCTGTTACAGCTGGAGCAGTGAGTGGCTCAGAATCCTAGAATCAGAACCGTTTCATTAACCCCCACAAAACTATGTCAGCGCCCTCCCCCCAAGAAAACCCCACACTGTTAACCAGCTGATTTTACTAAAAATTTGAGGCACAGTTAGTGTTTCTCTTTTAATAATTAGTTACAAGAATAGAGAAAGAGACAAAGTTTGCTAATCATTTCATGAGGCAATGTGTAACCTCGGTATTCAACCCACAAAGTGGTCAATAAGCGTATGAAAAGCTACATTATCTTGGGAAGAACCAGAGAAATGAGGTACCATTTTACATCTAAGATGGATGCTGTGGTATGCTGTCCACAGCATTCTGGGATTGAACCATTTTCCCCATTGCTCTTCTGGCAATTGTCTTTGGGTGAAGTAGGTCATTCCCCCTTGCTCCAATTTGAGGCTAGTCGATGCACTGGCATAAAGGCCCAAACACATTGCTTAAGTTGGAAACCACTTGCAGGGCCATCCCAGTGACTGTGTTCCCTGTGAGATCTGCTGAAGCCGTTGCTGTGATTGCACTGTAGGCCAGCTTCTCTCTCTACCTAATTCTGCTTCAGTGTTTACAGGAGTGAATGCTGAGAACACTTCCTAATAAATATCTTATATACAAATCTCTATCTCAGACTGCTTCTCAGCTATAACAAAATACCGTAGACTGGATAGATTAACCTGTTAATCTGTTATTATTCACAGTTCACAGTTCTGGAGACTGTGAAGTCCAAAGTCAAGATACTGGCAGATTTGGTGTCTCAGGAAGGCTCACTTCCTGGCTCGTAGGCAGTCACCTTCTTACTATGTCCTCCTAGGGCTTTTCTTTGGTGCAAGCTTGAGAGAGAGAGAGATAGAGAGAGAGAGAGAGAGAGAGAGAGAGATCAGTTTCCTTCTTATAAGGGCGCTAATACCATCAAATCACCAGGATCCTACCATCATGATCTAATAGAAACAAAATTACTTCCCAAAGGCCTCACTTTCAAATTCCATCACATTGGGGGTTAGAGCTTCAACGTGTGATTTTTTGAAGGGACACATTCAGCTCATAACAGGTAGTAAAAAATATAATATAAAATTGGAGTTTGGAGCTGGATCACCCACCAGCTGGCTGGAAATGAGGACTCCATCACTGGTGGTAAGTGGAGTTTGAGCAGCCCTTAGTGCTATAATTATTAACACTTTATCCGGTGGTAAATAGGGATGACATACTAGTAGAAAAGAAGGCACTGGCAGATTAAATGTATTAAGTATTTGAGACATAAAAGGGAAATAGTAATTATAAGGGCAATGGAATTGGATGTCTGTTGTAGAAACAGTAGAGGGTTTTGAGAAAGACTTTGAAAGGCTGAAGTTGATTAATTACCAACTAAAAGTTAAATTTGAGAGCCACAGTCCCTCCTTATAGCATTTGGAGTCTAGCATCTCCTGTAGCCTGTAACGTAAAAGGCTAGGAATCAGGCTTAAGACTTGATTATGAGAGAAGTAGACATTATGTTAGAATTTTAAGCCACTGCAGCTTGACTACTAAGTTCAAGATCTTAATTAGGAAAGAATGAGACACTGAGTCATGGAATAGGGGTATCTGTGTTGATGCATTTAAAAATCTTGAATCACTAGATTCTTCTAAACCCTCTGGATTCTTCCCTGTTAAATGTTTGTGTTCCACCCGTAGATAAAGATAAAACAGAGGATGCTATCTTGCAAAACAACATATGTTCTCCTTAAACTCTGTCCCTACCTTTTCTTAACCACTTGATTATAACTAAGGGTAAATCATAACATAACCTAACAGGGAAAAGGCTGAGTCTGCTATGGGAGCTGTAGGACCTAGTCAACATGTAGAATCAGGAGCTGAAAAGAGTACATGCTGAATCAAAGGGTCAGACATCAAATTGGATAAGAGATAATTTATCAGTGTTGGAGCCCTCTCCCTTACTATAGGATTTAATATCTTGGTAAAGATCACAGCATATGATGCAAAGAAGCTGCTACGATGGCTTTTAGAAACTTGCAGAAATTGGTGACGCACACTAAGTAGAAATGTCAGAACTGCTGTGGAAGACAGTAGAAGGAGGGATAGAAAAGCTTAGAGAAGAGCACTTGCTAGAATAAATACGTGAAAATGAAAAGTCCACCAGATAACTAGGCTCCATATAAGGTCCCAGAGGACATTCTGTTTACTAAACAAAAGGAATATGCTGGTGAGAAGGACACCAATGTCACTGAGAAGCTCAGTGGTGGCTATCCTCTGTAGGATAGGGCTGATTGTAATGATGTCATTACAGAAGTGAACCTTTGATAGAAATGGAGATGATATGGCATCAGAATAAAAGTAAATGATGTTTCTGAGATAAGACAAATGGGTAGACAACAACAACATGCTCAATCTACACAATTAAAAGAAATCAAGGATAGAGATTAGAGGGGGGTGATTATAGCTGCTCAAACAAAAACAGGTGATCTCTTGCCCAGTTTCCACACCTGAACCAGTTTTCAGACTCAGAGCCCTCTGACTGAAGAAGAGGCCAGGACCTATGATCAAGGACCCTGAAAGTGCAGTTATATATATATTTTTGCCTTTGGCCAGTGGAGTTATATATATATAGCCTTTCCTCAAAGAGAACTATGGTCATTACTGGAGTAACTAAATCCTGGGGAAACAGAAATATCCAAACTTATCAAGGCTTATAACATGCGAAATTTGAATTGACATTGACACCTATGACCTAAAGCTTCATCGTGGCCACTTTTAGGGTATAGGAGGGCCAGATAATAAATGGGATCCAGGGCCTATGTATGTCCATGAATGCATGGACCCATCCAGTGCTATTTCTTTGTTCTCAAAAGGTATATGGAATGAACAAAATGGTAGAATAGTAGTAATGGGCAGAATATCCACATTGATTTATTAGCTTTAAGAGCCATCATAGTAGTGAAGCCTGAGTGGAAGCCTCTGAAACTGCCCATTTCCTGGCCAAATTACTAAAAAATAAAAATCTAATCTCAAAGGGAAATGGCAGATATCAATGCCATCTTTAAGAACCTAATGATACTAGGGTGGTGGTATCATTAGGTTCTTAAAGGTTTCGTTTAATTCACCAGTGTAGTTCCTACAAAAACCGGAAAGATCCTACAAATTCAACAAAGCATTAACCCCAAATGCAGCTGCTGTGCTACATGTGTGGTATCTTTGCTTAGAGATTATTACAGCCTCAAATACGTGGTATGGGGCAATTGATCTGGCAAATACCTTCTTTTCCATTCCTTATCAGAAAGAATGATTGTGGAATAGATTATATATATATATATATATATATATATATATATATATATATATATATATACAGATTTTATATATATATAAACAAACAGATTTTATATATATAAACAGATTATATATATATAAACAGATTTTATATATATATAAAATCTTTCTCAGAATTATGTTAACTTGATCACCCTTTGTCTTAAGATAATATTAGAATAATAGAAAGAGGGTTTATATCTTCTCAACTACCTATGAGGTAAAAAAATGGAGCAAAAGACCCATCCATGATGGAAAAATGGAAAAGGCAATTCGGTAGGTTGGTTTGAACTTGGAAGAGGAAGATTGAAAATAAATTCCTCTCAAAAGATATTACCAGGAAAAATTATAACAGAATAAAGAAAGCATAACAACATAAGAGAGTACAAAATAGATTTCAAGGTAAAAACTGTTAAAAGGGACAAAAAAGGATATTTCATATTAATATTTTATCCCAAGGTACAGTTGACTAAGAAGTGGTGAGGGAGGCTGGGTGCTGGGGCTCACGCCTGTAATCCCAGCACTTTGGGAGGCCGAGGCGGGCGGATCATGAGGCCAGGAGTTTGAGACCAGCCTGGCCAACATGGTGAAACCCTGTCTCTACTAAAAACACAAAAATTAGCTGGGTGTGGTGATGGGCACCTGTAATCCTTGTTACTCGGGAGGCTGAGGCAGGAGAATCGTTTGAAACCGGGAGGTGGAAGTTGCAGTGAGCAGAGATCGCGCCATTGTACTCCGGCCTGAGAGACAGGGCAAGACTCCGTCTCAAAAAAAAAAAAAAAAAGGTTGTGAGGGAGTTATAAATACAGGCTTCAGAACCAGACTACAGCGCTAACATTCAAATCCCAGTCTCAGCATTTTCTGTGTGATTTCAGGTAGATTTTTTTAACTTCTCTGTGTTCATTTTACTTTGAGGACCAGAGAGTCTTTTTGATATACTTTAAGCAAACACACATACACATATTATATGTATATAGATATAGATTTAGATATATATGATCTGTCATGGGAAGGCTTGGGCTTCTGAGTGAATTTAGAATGCCATTACAGAAAGTTAACTTATAAAAAAATTCCTGTTTATTTCTTCTGTAGCACTTATAATTGGTCATTATGTTATCATGCATTTGTTTATAGTTTACTATCTGCCTTACCTACTAAAATATAAGCTCCATGAGGGCAGGAACCTTGTCTGCCTAGTTCATTATTTTATCCTGAGTGCCTAGAAGAGAGTTTGAAACACTGTTAATGTTCAATAAATATCTGCCAAATGAATGAATGAATGAATAATTAAAATACTTTGTGGTCCAAGTAAGGTATTACTTCAAGACTTTGGGTTACAATAATAGAAAGTGACAATACATGTTTCAGGATCCTCCCAGTCTTCCCTCTGAAATACTCATGAAAATGGATGCACATATCTCATTAGCTCTGTGAATAGTAAGGTTGGTCAATGATCTTGACTCCAGAATGAATTTCTACTAACCGGCTCATCTAAACATCTAGACAGAACAGACGGGACTCTGCATACAGTGATATTTCATCCATGCATTTGGAAACGATAAGAGCAGTGGATCACAAAGTTACCTGGATATCAAAATCACCTGAGGAGTCTTTATAAATCCCAGTGCACGGGCCATACCCTATACCAATTAAAACAGAATCTTTGGGAAAGGGTTCAGGCAGTATTCTTTTAATTTTTCCATGTTGTTCTGATATTCAGCCAAGATTGAGAACACTGAGGTCGTGATTCTTAAACTTTGGTGTGGATCAGAATCACATGGAGGGTTTACTAAAACACCAGGAATATTCCTTTCAAAAAGGAGTAAAACACAGAGGAGCTCCAGACTATGCACAAGGATATAAGTAGGGAGAGAAGCCAGGCTAGTTTATTCCTGTTTCTATTCCAATACCTCTTCCAAAGGAAGAGGCAGCAGTGATCGAGGTGTCTGTCTCTAAGCAGAAACAGTGCTTTGGGCAGAGTCGAGGTATGGTAGTAAAACCCAGAAGACAGGTGGCTGAGGTACCTTTCCTAGCTGTTCATCTTACCTATTTCCCTGCCTAACGAAACAGGGAGCAGTACCACTGTCTTTGCACCTTTCCCATGTAAGAATCAGTGGGCAGTTCAGCAGAAAATCCCCATTATAAAAATGCACTTATAGTAACCCGCCCCCCAAATCTTTTAGGATTACTAGAATCACAAAATAAGAGAGACAAATTCAAAAGACAACAGCAAAATAAAAACAAAAACCAGAAGTAAAGAAAAGAAAAAAGGCAACAGAACATAAATCCAAGTAAAGAGAGTTTGTAAAGCTATCATGATAAAATTCACATTAAAATAAATATAATCTTTTTAATGATTCAGGAGAAAGTGCTATATAAAAATAAGAAAATATGATTATGAAACGTTAAGAATAAGTTATAAAAACATATTAGAGACTTTGGAAATGTAAGAGTATATCATGGGCTTGTTTCAGAAGCTGAACATATGGGGACATTTTATCTTTTTAATGTCCACATAGTAATCCATAGGATGAAGGTGCCATCATTTTTTCAACAATTCTTTTGTTGATGCACACTAGACACTGCAATTTTTCTGCTGTTTAAGCAATCATGTGATGAACATCTTTTTGTATATGTATTTTTTCAGGTTATTATTACCTCTAGGATTAATTCCTCAAAGTGAAATTTTGGAGTACAGCACTTGAAATTTTAAATAAAATTTGCCACGATATTTTCCAAAAGTTTTTAGAAAATTCATATATTTTTCATAATGTATAAAAGTACCTTTTCCCCCTGTAATTTGCTAGTACCAGATACATACAATCATTTGAATGTTGGCTTACTGTGATCTAGCCTCAGTGGCTTATTCTTCTCGTGGATTTTGCATTACTCAAATTTAAAGGGAGTAAAACCTCCTTGAAAAGCTTTCCCCCTAAACCTTTACATGGTTTACTTCCTTATTTCATTCATATATATGATTTATTGTTATCTCCCAACACTAGAATACTAGAATGTAAGTTCTATGAGTTCAGTGATTTTTTTTCTGATTTGTTTATCACTACATCCCAAGGAAGCTTGGGATATAGTAGTATTCAGTGCATATTTTGGAATGAATGAATAAATGAATTCATTTGACAAATACCCTGGGACCTCTGGAGAGAGTGATCATTTGTTATCATGTGTATTAGTTTCCTGTGGCTATTGTAACAAATTACTATGAATTTGGAAGCTTAAAATAACAGAAACTTATTATTTCACAGTTCTGGAGGCCAGAAGTCTAAAATAAGTATCACTGGGCAAAAATCAAGGTGGCAACAGAGCCATACTCCCTCTGGAGGCTCCAAGGTGGAATCCATTTCCTGTGTCTTCCAGCTTCTGCTGGCTTCTGGCATTCCTTTGCTGTGGCCAAACCACTCCAATCTCTTTCTCTTTGGTCACATTGCCTTCTCCTTCTCTGTTTGTGTCACATTCTCCCTCTGTCTCTCTCTTATAATGATACTTGTGATTGCTTTTAGGGCCCACCCAGACAATCTAGGATAATCACTCCATTACTCCATTTTAAGATTCTTAATCACATATGCAAAGGCCATTTTTAAAGTAAGGTAACATTTATAGATTCCATGGATTGGGGCCTGATATCTTTGGGGGCCATTATTCAGTCTGCTACAGTCTTCTCTCTGGCCCCCAGTGATTTATGTTCATTCCACGGTAAAATGTGTTCATCCCACCTCCAAATCCTCAAAAGCCTCAACCCAACACAGCATCAACTAAAGCCCAAAATATCATCTAAATATCATCAGCTTGAAAGTCCTAAATCTCATTATCTAAATTACCTAAATCAGATATAGGTAGGATACTGTGTATGATCCATCCTGGGGCAAAATTTCTCTCCATCTGTGGACCTGTGAAACAAGAAGACAAGATATCTGTTCCCCAAATATAATGATGATACAGGCATCATGATGTAACAGTAATAGACATTTACATTCTAAAAGGGGGGAAGTGGAAGGAGGGAAAAGGTCATCAGACCCAAGCAATTCTGAAGTTCATCAGGGCAAACACGGCATTTCAAGGCCTATGAATAACACTTAGTGACTCAATGCTCCATGCTCTGGGTCTGAGACTAATATTTTCTGTGTGCACTGCTCCAACCTCTGCACCATGGCTCTAAATCCTAGACCCAAGGCTCCAGCTTTTGGGCCAAAGGGTTTGTTCTTGAAGTTATCCTTTCTTTTTCTTGATAGGTAGCACATATTTGTAGCTGATTAGTTTTATCAGCCTTTTCCTGCTTGTAGAATTTTATGAGTCTTACAGCCTTCTTTCATTTTGTTCTGTCTCTGTCCCTTTAGCACAAGCTGGTGGTGTTTCTGAAACTATATCATTTTTGAAAACCTGGTTCTCCCATGTATGTTATGACTATTCACATCATTAGACAAGAGGGTCCTTCACCTTTAAGTAATTTGTTCTCACATTTTAATACATTGAGTAAACAACAATAGGCTGTACCTTCAAAACTTTGTAAATCTGCTTATCTAAACATCCAAGTTCATCACTTACAAGTTCTGCTTTCCATGTAACTGTAGGTCAAAATTAAGCTAGACTTTCTGTCACTATCTAACAAGGATAACTTTTTCTCCAGTTTCAAAACAGCATGTTCCTTGTTTCTGTTTGAGCCCTCACCCAGCAAAGTGAACTAAAACACATGACCCAGCTCTATGCTGTCTACAAGAAAGTCACTTCAAATATAATAATAGAGGCAAATTGAAAGTAAAATAATGGGTCAGGTGTGATGGCTCACACTTGTAATCCCAGCACTTTGGGAGGCTGTGGTGGTTGGATCACGAGGCCAGGAGTTTGAGACCAGCCTGGCCAATGTGGTGATACCCCATCTCTACTAAAAATACAAAAATTAGCTGGGCGTGGTGGCAGGCGCCTGTAATCCCAGCTACTCGGGAGGCTGAGGCAAAAGAATCTCTTGAACTCGAGAGGTGGAGTTTGCAGTGAGCCGAGATTGTGCCACTGCACTCCAGCCTGGGTGACAGAGCAAGACTCCATCTCAAAAAAACCAAAACAAAATCCAAAAAAGAAAGTAAAATAATGAAAAAGACATAGCATGTAAATATTAATCAAAAGAAAAGCAGTAGCTATATTAATATTGAATAACGTAGACTTCAGAGCAAAGAAAATTACTAGAGGCAGAAAGGGATGTTACATAATAATAAAATACTTGAAATTATAAAAATGTAGAAACAGAGAACATATTAGAGGATTCCTGAAGTTAAGGAAGGGATGGGGATGGGACAGAAGTTGTTGTGGCTATGAAAGAGTAATGTGAGGGGTTATTGTGCTCATGGAAATGTTCTGTATCTTGACTGTATCACTGCCAGTATCCTCGTTGTGATATTACACTACAGTTTTTCAAAATGCGTTCATTGGAAGAAATTGGGTAGAGGGCATATAAGATCTCTCTGTATTAATTTCATTTCTTAAAACTGCATGTAAATCTACAATAATCTCAAAGTAAAAAGTTTAATTAAAAAATAAAGGTAGTATCATCTAGAAACATACAGAAAACATAAACATTTATTTTTTCCCAGAAGAATTTTTATTTTGAAGAGAAATTACTCTGGTACACTGTACTCTTGCTTATTCCTATAAATCTCAATATAGTTACAGGGGATTTAGCAGTTCATCAAAAAGTTTTATTTAAAAATTCTAATGCATACTAAAAATAAATAAATTTACAGATGTTTTTAGACTTTTTTTTTTCAGTTGAGGTCTTGCTTAGTTGCCCAGGCTGGAGTACAGTGGTGCAATTCTAGCTCACTGCAGCCTCAAACTCCTGACTTCAATCAATCTTCCCATTTCTGCCTCCTGAGTAGTTGAGACTACAGGCATGAGCCATGACACCTGGCTAATTTTACTTTTATTTATTTATATTTTTTTTTTGTAGAGATGGGGTCTTGTTATGTTGCCCAAACTTGTCTGAACTCTTGGCCTCAAACAATTCTCCCACCTTGGCCTTCCAAAGTGCTGGGATTACAAGTGTGAGCCACCATGCCCAGCAGCAACACATATTTTTATGAGCATATGTACCTGTAATTTCCATTGTCTTGATGAATTTTCAGTGAAATTTTTATAAACAAGTAGTGTACTCAAGAGGCTATATCCCAAAGGACCCCAAATCTCATAAATATCACCTTCCTATACAGTGACAGTTCTTTGCAATTTGTTATTATTGCTGATGTACATTCATCTGCAGGTAATAATTTCCCTTTTCTATTGATACAGGAATGTTTGTTTCTCATTTTTGTATTAGAAGTTAAGGTATAGTTTTTTAAAGGAAATAATCATTTGTTGAACATTCACTTATTTCTATGATCCATACTTGGTATTATCATGTACATCATCTTATTCAACACAAGAATCATGTGAAGTATTTTTTTAAACAAATAACGTAATGAAGAGTTGAACAGTTTATGTAAAATTTCCAAGATTCCATAGATTGCTGGTGACAAAGCTGAATCTAATCCCAGGGCCGTATGTCTCCAAAGCTCATGGCATTTCTGTCCAACACATTGCTTCCATGCCATAATAGCATGTATAACTGACTCTGAATTTCTATTATACACATCTATCTTTTCTAAAATTTTAAGCATTCATTCATTCTTGGGTCCATGCCACTTAATAAAGCCCTGTACAAAGATAAGGAAGATAGGACTTCAGAGTTCAAACATGTAATTGCATGGTGTTCTTAACATAGCATGATATTGATCAGTTAATTCAGACGTGAAATTATTCAAGCATCTCAGTTCAGAATAAAAGTGTGAAAATAATGTGGCTGGATGAGCACATGACTTTGATGCCAGTGTGTGTGTGTGTATGCATGTGGTGTGTGTGTGAGAGAGAGAAAGAGACAGCAGTGCATGTGTGCAAGAGCGTTCAGTCTGCTTGAGAGCAAATTCTTTAAAGAAAAATACATTATTCCTTAATTTTGGTTGATCTTTAAAGAGAGAATTATGGGAATTTTTGTGGTTGCTATTGTTGAGGAGCAATAAAGAATGGAAGTTTCCAAGAGTAAATAAACCTTATATTAAATGATGTAGGAAAACATTGAATTATCTTAATTTTCTTCCATAGAAGAAGATATCATTGATAAAAATGGAATTAAATTGTTGACATGTGAAATAAAAATTCCCTCTTTTATCTTATCAGCTATAGCACCTCTTTTGGCTCCCTCTGTATGGTCTGCCTTTCATATTCCTCTGCCTTTCATTCATTCCTCTCTACTTTTTTAAAAAAACACTTTTGCTTCTCTTTTTTCTTAATTCTAATAGAGGCATCAATTGGATACTTAAGATACATAGAAGCAAAGAGCAAAGTGTTTGCAGACTCCAGAGTGAAAGCAATCTATTGAGAAAGTTCACGCATTATCTTCATATGGATGTGTAGAGTATAGACTATAGTGGATTAATTTACTATGCTGAATCCTAGAATATCATTTTAAAATGTCACAGCATCACATTAGCTCAGGTAGACCTGTAATTCCTGAATCTCTTTCATAGTGCTGTCACCAATTTGCAGCCCATTCCAACTGGGCACAATTGTGACTGCTTGATGATTCTCCCATGTATTGAGCAGTTATTTTGTGTATCCTCAGACTTCTAAAAAGCACTGGAGTAGTAAAAAAAAAAATAAGATAAAAGTTAATTTCCTTCAGGAGCCATTTCTTGCCCAAGATAAATTGCTTATGTTCCTTCATTCACTTTAAAACTCTGTATCTTCTGTTTCTCTTTACTCATATTCCCAACCAATCAACATGGAATTTCTGTATCAGCAACCCTATTTTTGTAGCAGCCACTGCAACATTCTTCCCCATCTTGCTGATGCCCTTTGGTGCATATTGGTCTTTCTATGCTGTAATCCCAACTTCTATTACCCAAAAAGGTTGCTTTTTCATAAAGTCATGAGACCCTACAAATACAGACACAAATATATATTTTCAAATATTTTTTCATATTTATGATGAAGCATACATTTTATTTTTATGGTAATTTTTCTCTCCTTCATAAAAATCAACTTCTCATTTTGGAAATTTTCTTTCTTATATCTCCACGTTCAGTTTAAACATTTTGTATAATATCTGTTCATCTTCATTCTTCCCTGTCCTAGTAAGATGTTCTCTATTTCTAGCCAATTTTTTGAAACCCTATATGAAATAACAGCATAGGTAGAGATGAAAGTCTTGACAGACCATATGTAATATTCCAGATGCATACTCCATAAAAGTAACCATGACTAGCAATGGCAGTTTTGGATCTACGTGAAGTCACCACTGCAGTAATCTCAGAAATGACTATCACCAGAATCCAGTTTTTTTGTTTTTTTAACTCCAGGATTTTTGACCCTTTGATTTTACCTACTAGTGTTTCTCATTGGTTTTAAATTCTTCAATAGGGATGACTTTTCCTTGGGTGAGATACTGGGATTGCCTCAAAACTGTTAAGTCACTCCAGGTCAGCTGAGTTGTTTACCTATTACCCCTTCCTCACAATCTTCACAACTTTGGGATTAGCTTTCACCCTCCCTTCTGCTATTCAGCAATTAAATTGTAGCAACTAATGTATGTTAGACAATTGTGTGTATTATCTTCTGTACTCTCTCTCTCAGAATGCCATCTCTATTCAGCTGGAGCTAAGAAAGGTTATTTTCAAGTATCCAAGCCTTCTCTTGAATCAAGAGGTCCCATATCCATCTCTTTTTAACTCTTGAAGCCTTTTTCCTGTGCCCTTCTGCAGTCACAGTTATCAACAAAATTTCTTATGTCCTCAGTATTGGTTTTGAACATTCCATTTCCCTTACTGTCCTTTTCAACAGACACTTGGCTGTCCCTGAGGACAATGTTTTCTCTGCAGCCTTCTCAAATGATGAACTTTTTTTTCTCTTACCACTTTTACCCCGAACCTGGTGATGGATAGGATCTTCCATTTCCCTTGTTGCTGCTTGTGGACATTCTCTCTCCTTCCTACCTACAAATACCCATAGTTGAGTTTTATGTCATCAGACTATACTAACCAATCTTACCTTTCTCTCCTTATGCATTTGCAGTCATCAACTGGCTAGCATCATGTCTCCGCATCTTTGGAAGATTTTTGGCTCTGGCTCACTCATTTTCTTACATTATTTCTGTCACTATTCCTGGTGGCTTTAATACCTCCACATAGAGGTTGCTTTCAACATTTTGGCTTCTTAGTTTCTTGACATATCTTCAAAAAAAATTTGTTTTCCTCCCTAAAACCTGTCTCTCCCGTTGTTAGAGTTTAGACATTAGCATTTGCCAATAACTGTAGCTTTTCCGTAATCTCATTTTTAAGCACCCCAAACTGTAACTACCATCATTTCTTGTTTTTCCTGCTTGTTTTCACTGGTAGAATAATTATAGCAAATTTTCAATCCTTGCAGAAAGGCTAGAACCATTTTGTTGATTTTACCCATCTCAGGTACTCACTTCATCTTTGCCTAGCTTAAATGTAGTGGTTATTTTACTCTCTACCTTGCATATACCCTAACATTCCATATCTGTCCCTTTCGTTGCTCAGAAAAAAGAAAATCTTAGTGAAATTTGACCCCTCATCTATCAGGCACTCACAACTGTTCAGCTGAAAACAAAAGCATATCAATTCCCTAGGTGCTGGGCACTGAAGGAGACTATCACCTGCCTCAAAGAATTGTCGTTATCTCTCAGCCGCATCTTTATGTGAATTACTGCACTGCAAAATTCCCCTTTCAAGAGTAAATGTATTATTTATATGTTAGCATAATTTTAAAACCTTTTTAAATATGTAATGAACCAAATATACTTTCTGATAGTCTATAGTCTTCTTTAGAAATCATAGAAAAGATGTATAATATGTGAAATAAAGATAGTAAATGAATTAGAAGTCCAAGAATATGGTTCTTCATTTTAGCTCAGTTTCCAGAAAGCCATTTGATCTAAAGTTATGTTGGACAATGGTGTGTATTATCTATCTTTTTTAGATCTCCGTTTATAATTTTATAAAGTGAGAGAATCGAGTGGATTATTTCTAGGACCTTTTGAAGCTGTGAGAAAGCTCTCCTGCTTTTCTTGCATTTTCTTGATTTTTCTCAAGCGAGTTGGTATGGAGGAGGGCCTTCCAGAAGGTGACCTACAGATGCAATTTTTTTCAGACAGCAACTATTCAGATAGGGCTGGATATTTGTGTTCTGTAGAAGGCTGGAATCTTCTGTTAGCAACCTAGCCCCAGCTTATGCAGAGTCTTGGGTATAAGTTGTATCTTTGGAGCCTTCCAGGAGTAACCTGATCATGTCTTCTCTAGATTGGCTCACTATCATGAATCAGATAGCTTGATCCTGAGATAATTAGGAGATATCTCATCTCCTCTTTCAAACCTCAGTCTTCCTCTGTTTACTTGTTTATAGTGTGAGTGCATTACTTCACCTTCTGCCTCGGTCCAGACTTCCTGGATATTTGGTGTACTTTTCCTCAATTGTGAAATCTCTGGGTGGGGACCACAGCTCAGTGTTGAGTTACTGACCTCTTCTTGGTCCTGTGGATTAGCATGCAGCTAATCTGTTTGACCTCTGTTTGGAATTCGGAATTCTTAATGACTACACATCTTTGATACAATAGATGATACCTCAAACATCCTTTTGAACAGCTGTTCTTTTCCATGAGTCTTGGTCTATTCTGACATTTATGTCTCCCTTCAATCACGTCTTTGGCCTTAGAAGATTGAGTTACTGGATTCTTTATATATTCTAGTGGTCATCTCTGAAATGTGCTCAGAGAGCACCTAAATTAACCATCCAATACGAGTTGAGTGTGTTAAGTTAAAAAAAAAAAAAGATTTTTCTGAGTATTCCTGACCTTACATCAGTGAACATTTATGTTTTAAAGTCTTACATAAGATACTGTGTGTGAAAGCATTTTCTTCCCAAATTTACATGAGTGCCTAAATTGTTATACTTTTTGGTTAAATAGATATTGGAAAAATAAGTGTGCAATTATAGCATTTAATCCCATTATAATATTCATTTGTTTTTCTTTCAGTTGGCACCATTCCCAATATAGATGGGGACTGGAAATGACACCACTGTGGTAGAGTTTACTCTTTTGGGGTTATCTGAGGATACTACAGTTTGTGCTATTTTATTTCTTGTGTTTCTAGGAATTTATGTTGTCACCTTAATGGGTAATATCAGCATAATTGTATTGATCAGAAGAAGTCATCATCTTCATACACCCATGTACATTTTCCTCTGCCATTTGGCCTTTGTAGACATTGGGTACTCCTCATCAGTCACACCTGTCATGCTCATGAGCTTCCTAAGGAAAGAAACCTCTCTCCCTGTTGCTGGTTGTGTGGCCCAGCTCTGTTCTGTAGTGACGTTTGGTACGGCCGAGTGCTTCCTGCTGGCTGCCATGGCCTATGATCGCTATGTGGCCATCTGCTCACCCCTGCTCTACTCTACCTGCATGTCCCCTGGAGTCTGCATCATCTTAGTGGGCATGTCCTACCTGGGTGGATGTGTGAATGCTTGGACATTCATTGGCTGCTTATTAAGACTGTCCTTCTGTGGGCCAAATAAAGTCAATCACTTTTTCTGTGACTATTCACCACTTTTGAAGCTTGCTTGTTCCCATGATTTTACTTTTGAAATAATTCCAGCTATCTCTTCTGGATCTATCATTGTGGCCACTGTGTGTGTCATAGCCATATCCTACATCTATATCCTCATCACCATCCTGAAGATGCACTCCACCAAGGGCCGCCACAAGGCCTTCTCCACCTGCACCTCCCACCTCACTGCAGTCACTCTGTTCTATGGGACCATTACCTTCATTTATGTGATGCCCAAGTCCAGCTACTCAACTGACCAGAACAAGGTGGTGTCTGTGTTCTACACCGTGGTGATTCCCATGTTGAACCCCCTGATCTACAGCCTCAGGAACAAGGAGATTAAGGGGGCTCTGAAGAGAGAGCTTAGAATAAAAATATTTTCTTGATGAAACTAGTTAGTTTGAAGAATCTGATATATTAATATTCTATATATAATAATAATAAGACACCGAGTGTTTGTGGTCAAAATTTATCTGTCCATAGACCATTACCCAGTGTGGAGCTTTTTAGTCAATCAGGAGGGAAGATTTTCAGATAGAATAGGAAATTAGAAGTCCATCTTGCTTTACCTTTAATAAAATTTAATTAAATTTATAATTGAGAATGCAAATAGTTTCACATGAAAAAAATGCTTTATCTGCTGAAAATCCTTTAAAAATTTTATTCTTATTTTTTCAAGAGTTGTTTTCTGCCATAAGTTAAGGCATACCTTTAAACCTTCAGACTGTGGCCATTGTCAACATCAGCTTATCCTGAGATACATGCCTGATATCTATAGTTGTTACTGAGTACATTGTGAGAGAAAATGACAAAGGAACCATAGTAAAATTGCTGGAGATATTCTTCTTCCAGAAAGGTTGCCTGCTGACAATGAGCTTGGGAGACCCACAACAATCTGGGCTGCGTTTCTATTCTCTGTCTCCAGCATGGTTATAGGGTCCCAGAGAAGAACCTGTTAGAGGCCCCTGACTAACCTATGAATTTCTCTGTCAGGTCAAAACCGGTGACTTCTGTGGGAATGAGCAGGGTTTCTGAACTCCTTAGAGACTGAGTGGAAAAAAAAATCAGGCAATAACTTCCAAGAGGAGAATCCAGCTTATAGTGTGACATTGTGGCTGTGAGGAACAACCTTTTGGAGTGACTCATTCATGGTCAGAGCCTCATCTTACTTAGGAAACTCAAGGGGACTAGACTGCCTCTCCTCTGAAAGTATGTCTGCCCCTGGAGAGGCTTAATCAACCTCTGCATGCTGACCACTACCAGATTTATTTCTCTTTCCTGTCCCCTCTTTAGTGTTTCAGACAACAATCCCAACATTCTGTCAATAGAATCATAGGGTATCAATCACTTCATTCATTTATTTTTTATTTTGTACATTCAAAAACTATATTTGAGGCCGGGCACGGTGGCTCATGCCTGTAATCCCAGAACTTTGGGAGGCCAAGGCAGTGGGATCACTTGAGGTTAGGAGTTCAAGACCAGCCTGACCAACATGGAGAAACCCTGTCTCTACAAATAATACAAAAAAAATTAGCCGGGCATGGTGATGGGCGCCTGTAATCCCAGCTACTCAGGAGGCTGAGGCACAAGAATCGCTTGAACCCAGGAGGCAGAGGTTGCAGTGAGCCGAGATGGCGCCATTGCACTGCAGCCTGGGCAACAAAAGCAAAACTCCTTCTCAAGAAAAATAATAATAATAAATAAATAAAGCTATATTTGGTGATTCTTATTTTATTTTATATATATTTTTTGAGATGGAGTCACGTTCTGTCACCCAGGCTGGAGTGCAGTGGCGTGATCTCGGCTCACTGCAAGCTCTGCCTCCTGGGTTCATGCCATTCTCCTGCCTCAGCCTCCAGAGTAGCTGGGACTACAGGCCAACCCGCCACCACATCCGGCTAATTTTTTGTATTTTTAGTAGAGATGGGGTATCATCTTGTTAGCCAGGATGGTCTCGATCTCCTGACCTCATGATCCGCCCACCTCACCCTCCCAAAGTGCTGGGATTACAGGCATGAGCCACTGCCGCCGGCCTATTTGGTGATCCTTGTAGGCACTGCCCTAGACGAGGATATAAGTGACTAATAGCCACAGATGTCTGTCGTGATGGAATTTGTCTTCTAACATAGGAGTCAGACAATAAAACTAACAAGTAAGTGATACCTACTATTAGAAGGGAATGAGTGCTATGGAGAAAGAAAAAGTGGAAGAGTACGTGGAAGGTTGATGTGCCAGGGGCAGGGAGGAGTCACTGCAGGTCTCACTGGGAACATAACATCTGAACAACTGCTGCCAAAGGTGAGGACAGTTCATGTTGAATATGGTGTTACCTGTGTAACAGCTCCAGGAGTCTAATCTTCACTCACACGCATGTAATTTACTTTTGAGGTTTCTGTTCCAACAGCGGCAGAATTGGTCATTTTAATCAGTGCCATGGTGAGTACAATTAAAACATGATAAAATGTTACATATATCTTAAATTTCACGTTAGAACTTATAGGATAATAAGGGATTGTCTTATCAGAAAGTGTGATAACCTAGAGAAGTAGGCCCAATACTCAAAAATGCTTTTGCCGAGAGAGAATTTGACAAGTCAGAAGATTGTTATTATCCTGAGCTGTAGCTTTAGTGTTCTTTTGGGATGAGAGGGCCACAAATCAAAGCCTATGGCATATCCAGGTGAGAAGTCTGATTTATACACCTCACATATATCCTCAGGATAAGGGAAAACCTGAAGTAACCAAGACTGGCACAGGTTAGCAGCCCTGGAGAGCTTGAGAAGCTCAGTGCTTGAATTTGAATATAACATGGTCAGGGACAGGTGGTCTGAGTCAGGGTGAACGGAATAAGCAAACAACAAACCCATACCTCAATGAGTCCTACTGGTAATTATTCAAAATCAGTAACCAACACACAGTGAAAAATAATGACCAACACAAAAGGAAACAAGGTACCAAGCATGAAAGCCAGTGGAAGCGACAGGCAACAGAAACAAAACTAAGAGTTAACATATGGAAATGAATAATTACAGACTATAATATTGCTTTGTTTCAAAATAAAAAGACTATTTGAAATGTGTACAATCACAGAAAACCAAAAATAATGACTAAATGTATGCAATTATTTAGAACATCATACTTGAAAAATTCACCACGCCAGTAGAGTTACACCAGGCATTTCTATTTGGTGAGCATAATCCTCATTGGTCTTCACATAGAAATCCCAAGCAGCAGCACAGGCAGAGGAGCCAGCCTACTTAGAAGCCTCATGACCTTAACTGGAATCAATATAGTCTACATAGTGTTTAGTATAGTGTTTAGTTCCAGGGTCCCTGCAAGGTTTTTACAGCAATAAGAATCACTGCACTCAAGGAAATATAAAGTATAAAATAGAATATACTGGCCCCCTGTATGGATAGAATTTACAATTAATCATTTTTGTCATAAACATTTTAGTGTTATATGTAACACACCTGACATTTAAGTTTTGTCTGAATTTAGGAGAAATAGGAAGTTCACTCATGGTAAAATTTATCCTTAAAGAAGTCAAAGGACATGGCACTGGGGGTCTTAAATGCAATACACTATTTACATAGAATTCTGAACAAATGCACTGTTTAGAATTCCATACTGAATCATAGGCAGGACTTAAGAGCCATGAATAATGTTATTTGGGAAATAGGCCCCTTCCTCTGTGTGTCAAGTATGGGGCTCTGAGAGAAATTTGTTTAGAAGACAACCTAGGCAATACCATTCAGGACATAGGCATGGGCAAAGACTTGATTGCTAAAACACCAAAAGCAACAGCAACAAAAGCCAAATATGACAAATGGGATCTAATTAAACTAAAGAGTTTCTGCATAGCAAAAGAAACTATCATCAGAGTGAAGAGGCAACCTACAGAATGGGAGAAAACTTTTGCAATCTATCCATCTGACAAAGGACTAATATCCAGAATTTACAAAGAACTTAAACAAATTTACAAGAAACAACCCCATCAAAAAGTGGGTGAAGGATATGAACAGACACTTCTCAAAAGAAGATATTTATGCAGCCAACAAAAGTAGGAAAAAAAACTCATCATCACTGGTCGTTAGAGAAATGCAAATCAAACCACAATGAGATACCATCTCATGCCAGTTAGAATGGTGATCATTAAAAAGTCAGGAAGGCTGGGTGCAGTGGCTCACACCTGTAATCCCAGCACTTTGGTAGGCTGAGGTGGGCAGATCACGAGGTCAGGAGATTGAGACCATCCTGGCTAACATGGTGAAACCCCGTCTCTACTAAAAATATAAGAAATTAGCCGGGCGTGGTTGCGGGCACCTGTAGTCCCAGCTACTCGGGAGGCTGAGGGAGGAGAATGCCGTGAACCTGGGAGGCAGAGCTTGCAGTGAGCCGAGATCGCACCACTGCACTGCAGCCTGGTGGACAGAGCAAAACTCCATCTCAAAAAAAAAAAAAAAAAAAAAAGTCAGGAAACAACAGATGCTGGAGAGGATGTGGAGAAATAGGAACACTTTTACACTGCTGGTGGGAGTATAAATTAGTTCAACTATTGTGGAAGACAGTGTGGTGATTCCTCAAGGATCTAGAAGTAGAAATACCATTTGACCCAGCAATCCCATTACTGAGTATATACCCAAAGGACTATAAATCGTGCTGCTATAAAGACACATGCACATGTATGTTTATTGCGGCACTATTCACAATAGCAAAGACACGGAACCAACCCAAATGTCCATCAATGATAGACTGGATTAAGAAAATGTGGCACATATACACCATGGAATACTATGCAGCCATAAAAAAGGATGAGTTCATGTCCTTTGCAGAGACATGGATGAGGCTGGAAACCATCATTCTCAGCAAACTAACACAAGAACAGAAAACCAAACACCACATGTTCTCACTCATAAGTGGGAGTTGAACAATGAGAACACATGGACACAGGGAAGAGAACATCACACACCAGGGCCTGTCAGGGGATGGGGGACCAGGGAAGGGATAGCATCAGGAGAAACACCTAATGTAGATGACAGGTTGATGGGTGCAGCAAACCACTATGGCACATGTGTACCTATGTAACAAAACTGCATGTTCTGCACATGTACCCCAGAACTTAAAGTATAAAAAAGAATAGAATAAAAATATTATTTTTTCTTGAAAAAAAACATGACAGCCACTGATTCAAAAAAGACTTTGATAATTTTTATCATCAATTTGTGTTTAAAAAGCCTTAGCAAAATTGAAATAGTGTAATTACTTCATCTGGGAAAAACTACTCATGTTTTGAAAGCTTTTCCTTCATGTCTGAGAATGAGAAAGAGATGCCATTGTTAGCATTTCTATTCTTCGTGGTATGGATGACACTAGCCAGGGCACTATAACAAGAAAAGGAAATAGAAGGCATAACAATAGAAAAAAAGAAATAAAGTATCATACAAGATGACCGTTTATGTAGAAAATAATAAAATAAAAATAAATTATCAATACTAGAGATTTTTTAACAATATTGATGGAAAAACAAAATAAAAGCAAAAGTTTTATTTCCTTTTAAAATTTTTTAAATTTTTATGGGTACACAGTAGGTGTATATATTTATGGGGTATAGGAGATGTTTTGATACAGGCATGCAATGTGTAATAATTACATGATAGAGAATGGGGTATCCATCCGCTCAAACACTTGTCCTCTGTATTACAAACAACCCAATTATACTCTTTTAGTTATTTTAAAATGTATGATTAAAATATTATCGATTGTAGTCGCCCTGTTGTGCTAGCAAATGCTAGGTTTTATTCATTAATTCTATTTTTTTGTACCAATTAACCATCTTCACTTCCCCTCCAACCCTCTACTGCCTTTCTCAACCTCTAATAACCATCCTTCTACTCTCTATCTCAATTAGTTCAATTGTTTTGATGTTTATATCACACAAATAAGTGAGAACATGTGATATTTGTCTTTCTGTACCTGGATTATTTCACTTAACATGATGCTCTGCAGTTCCATTAACATTGTTGCAAATGACAGGGCCTCATTCTTTCTTACGGCCAAATAGTACTACATTGTGTCTATGTACATTTTCTTTATCCATTCATCTGTTGATGGACAGTTAGGTTGCTTCCAAATCTTGGCTATTGTGAACATTACTGCAACAAACATGGGAGTACAGATATCTTTGATATACTGATTTTCTTTCTTTGGGGTATATACCCAGCAGTGAGACTGCTGGATCATATGGTAATTCTATTCTTGAGGAACCTCCACACTGTTCTCCATAGTGCTTGTACTCACTTACATTCCCACCAACTGTGTACGAGGTTTCCCTTTTCTCCACATCCTCGCCAGCATTTGTTATTGCATCTTTTAGATAAAAGCCATTTTAACTGGGGTGAAATGATATATCATTGTAGTTTTGATTTGCATTTCTCTGATGACAAATGATGTTGAATACATTTTCATATGTCTGTTTGCCATTTGTATGTCTTCATTTGAGAAATGTCTATTCAAATCTTTTGCCCATTTTAAAAACTGGATATTTTCCTAAAGAGTTGTTTGAGCTCCTTATGTATTCTGGTTATTAATCCCTTGTCAGAGGGGTAGTTTGCAAATATTTTCTCCCATTCTGTGTGTTGTCTCTTCACTTTGTTTATTGTATCATCTGCTGTGCAGAAGCTTTTTAACTTGAGGTGATCCCATTTGCCCATTTTTGCTTTGGTTGCCTGTGCTTGTGGGGTATTGCTCAAGAAATTTTTGTCCAGACCAATGTTCTGGGGACTTTGTCTAATGTTTTCTTGTAGTGGTTTAATAATTTGAGGTCTTAGAGTTAGGTCTTTGATCCGTTTTGATTTTATTTTTGTATATATAGAGAAACAGGGGTCAGTTTCATTCTTCTGCATGTGGAAATCCAGTTTTCCCAGCATGATTTATTGAAGAGACTGTCTTTTCCCCAGTGTACGTTCTCTCTTCCTCAGTGTATGTTCTTTGCACCTTTGTCAAAAATGAGTTTACTATAGGTGTGTGGATTTGTTTATGGGTTCTCTTTTCTGTTCCATTGGTGTATGCATCCATTTTTATGCCAGTATCATGCTGTTTTGTTCACTATAGCCGTGTAGCATAATTTGAAGTCAGGTAATGTGATTCCTCCAGTTTTGTCCTTTCTGCCTATGAGAGTTTTGGCTACTTGGGCTCTTTTCTGGTTCCATATAAGTTTTAGGATTGTGTTTTCTATTTCTGTGAAGAATGTCATTGGTATTTTGATAGAGATTGCACTGGATCTGTAAACTGCTTTGAGTAGTATGGACCGTTTAACAGTATTGATTCTTCTAATCCACAAGCATGGAATATCTTCCCATTTTTTGTGTCCTTTTCAATTTATTTCATCAGTGTTTAACAGTTTTCTTTGTAGATATCTGTCACTTCTTTGGTTAGTTCCTAGTTATTTAATTTTATTTGTGACTGTTGTGAATTGGATTCTGTTCTTTATTTCTTTTTTATATTATTCACTGTTGGCATATAGAAATGCTACTGATTTTTAAAATGTTGATCTTGTATTGTGCAACTTAACTGAAATTGTTTATCAGCTCTAATAGTTTTTTTGGTGGAGTCATTTGATTTTTCCAAATATAAGATTATATTATCTGCAAATAATGATAATTTGACTTCTTTCTTTCTGATTTGGATGCCCTTTATATTTTTCTCTTGTTTGCTCTAGCTACAACTTCCAGTACTATGTTGAATAACAGTGGTGAAAGTGGCCATCTTTGTGATGTTCTAGGTCTTAAAGGAAAGGCTTTCAGTTTTTACCCATTCAGTATGACACTTGTTGTGGGTCTGTCATATATGGATTTTATTATGTTGAGGTATGCTCCTTCTATAGTTTTTTTAAATGTTTTTATGATGAAGGGATGTTGAATTTTATAAAATGCTTTTTCAGCATCAGTTGAAATTATTATATGGTTTTTGTCCTTCATTTTGTTAATATGATGTACCACATTGGATTGATTTGCGTATGTTGAACCATCCTTGCATCCCTGTGACAAATCCTACTTAGTCATGATGAATGATTTTTAAAAAATGTGTTGTTGAATTTGATTTGCTAGTATTTTGTTCAGGATTTTTGCATCAATATTCATCAGGCATATTGGGGTATTGAAGTCTCCAGCTATTATTGTATTGAGTCTATTTCTCTTTTTAGCTCTAATAATATTTCCTTTATATATCTGGGTGCTCCAGTGTTGGATGCATGTATATTTAATATTGCTATAATCCACTTTCTGAATTGACCTCTTTATCACTATATAGTGACACTTTGTCTCCTACAGTTTTTGTTTTGAAATCTATTTTGTCTGATATAAATATAGTGACTCCTGGTGTTTTTTGGGTTTCCATTGTCATGGAATACTTTTTCCATCCCTTTGTTTTCAGTCTATGTGTGTTTTTATAGGTAAGGTGTGTTTCTTGGCAGAAACAGACCAATGGGTCTTGTTCTTTCATACATTTGGTCAGCCTACGCCTTTTGATTGGAGAGTTTAGTCCACTACATTCAATGTTATTATTGATAGGTAAGGCCTTGCTCTTGCCATTATGTTATTTGTTTTCTGGTTGTTTTGTGGTCCTCTCTTCCTTCTTTTCTGTCTTCCTGTCTTCCTTATAATGAAGGTGATTATCTCTGGTGATATAATTTATTCTCTTGCTTTTTTTTGTATATCTATAATATGTTTTTTGGTTTGAGGTTGCCATGAGGCTTGTAATTACCCATTATTTTAAGCTCATAACAACTTAATACTGTTTTCATAAACAAATAAACAAAAAGAAAACCAATAAACAGTTTAGCTTCATCTCCCCTGCTTTTTAATTTTTTTGTTGTTTTTATTTATACTTTATTGTCTATGTCTTGAAAAGTTGTTGCAGTTATTATTTTTAATTGGTTCATCATTTTGTTTTTCTACTAAGGTATGAGTAGTTACATACCATGATTACAGTGTTATAATATTCTGTGTTTTTCTGTGTAGTTACTACCAGTGAGTTTAGTACCTTCAGGTGATTATTTAGTGCTCATGTACGTCCTTTTATTTCTGCTTGAAGTACTCCCATTAGCATTTCTTGTAGTGCAGGTCTGCTGTTGATGAAATCCCTCAGCTATTGTTTGCTGGGAAAGTCTTTATTTCTTCTTCGTGTTTGAAGATGTTTTCACCAGATATGCTATTGCAAGGTAACCTTTTTTTTTTTTTTACTTCAGCACTTCAAATATGTCATGCTGCTCTCTCCTAGCCTTTTCCACTGAAAAGTCTACTGCCAGACATGTTAGAACTCCATTGTAAGTTATTTTTTTTTTCTGTTGATGCTTTTTGAATCCTTTCTTTATCCTTGACCTTTGGTAGTTTCATTATTAAATGACTTAAGGTAGTCATTTTTGGATTAAATCTGCTTGGTGTTCTATAATCTTCTTGTACTTGAATGCTGATAGCTTTCTCTAGTTTTGGGAAGTTCTCTGTTCTTATCCCTTTGAATAAACTTTCTTCCCCTATCTGTTTCTCTACCCCCTGTTTAAGGCCAATAACTCTTAGATTTGTCCTTTTGAGGCTATTTTGTATATTCTATAAGAATGCCACAATTACTTTTGCACCAACCTAATATCTCCTCTGTGTATTTTCTTTTTTTATTTTTATTTTTTAATTTTTTTATTATACTTTATGTTCTAGAGTACATGTGTACAACATGCAGGTTTGTTACTTATGTATACATGTGCCATGTTGGTGTGCTGCACCCATTAACTTGTCATTTACATTAGATATTTCTCCTAATGCCATCCCTTCCCGCTCCCATGACAGGCCCCTGTGTATGATGTTCCCTGCCCTTTGTCCAAGTGTTCTCATTGTTCAAGTCCCACCTATGAGTGAGAACATGCAGTGTTTGGTTTTCTGTCCTTGCGATAGTTTGCTCAGAATAATGGTTTCCAGCCTCATCCATGTCCCTGCAAAGGACATGAACTCATCGTTTTCTATGGCTGTATAGTATTCCAGGTGTATATGTGCCACATTTTCTTAATCCAGTCTATCATTGATGGACATTTGGGTTGGTTCCAAGTCTTTGCTATTGTGAATAGTGCCACAATAAACATACATGTGCATGTGTCTTTATAGTAGCATGATTTACAGTCCTTTGGGTATATACCCAGTAATGGGATGGCTGGGTCAAATGGTATTTCTACTTCTAGATCCTTGAGGAATCACCACACTGTCTTCCACAATGGTTGAACTAGTTTACACTCCCACCAACAGTGTAAAAGCATTCCTATTTCTCCACGTCCTCTCCAGCACTTGTTGTTACCTGACTTTTTAATGATCACCATTCTAACTGGTGTGAGATGGTATCTTATTGTGGTTTTGATTTGCATTTCTCTGATGGCCAGTGATGATGAGCATTTTTTCATGTGTCTGTTGGCTGCATAAATGTCTTCTTTTGAGAAGTGTCTGTTCCTATCTTTTGCCTACTTTTTGATGCGGTTGTTTTTTTTTCTTGTAAATTTGTTTAAGTTCTTTGTAGATTCTGGATACTAGCCCTTTGTCAGATGGGTAGATTGCAAAAATTTTCTCCCATTCTGTAGGTTGCCTGTTCACTCTGATGGTAGTTTCTTTTGCCGTGCAGAAGTTCTTTAGTTTAATTAGATCCCATTTGTCAATTTTGGCTTTTGTTGCCATTGCTTTTGGTGTTCTAGTCCTTGCCCACACCTGTGTCCTGAATGGTATTGGCTAGGTTTTCTTCTAGGGTTTTTATGGTTTTAGGTCTAACATTTAAGTCTTTAATCCTTTTTGAATCAATTTTTATATAAGGTGTAAGGAAGGGATCCAGTTTCAGCTTTCTACATATGTCTAGCCAGTTTTCCCAGCACCCTTTATTAAATAGGGAATCCTTTCCCCAGTTGTTGTTTTTAATCGGGTTTGTCAAAGATCAGATGGCTGTAGATGTGTGGTGTTATTTCTGAGGACTCCGTTCTGTTCCATTGATCTATATCTCTGTTTTGGTACCAGTACCATGCTGTTTTGGTGACTGTAGCCTTGTAGTATAGTTTGAAGTCAGGTAGCATGATGCCTCCAGCTTTGTTCTTTTGGCTTAGGACTGACTTGGCAATGTGGGCTCTTTTTTGGTTCCATATGAACTTTAAAGTAGTTTTTTTCCAATTCTGTGAAGAAAGTCATTGGCAGTTTGATGGGGATGGCATTGAATCTATAAATTACCTTGGGCAGTATGGCCATTTTCACAATATTGATTCTACCTATTCATGAGCATGGAATGTTCTTCCATTTGTTTATGTCCTCTTTTATTTTGTTGAACAGTGGTTTTTAGTTCTCATTGAAGAGGTCCTTCATATCCCTAGTAAGTTGGATTCCTAGGTATTTTATTCTCTTTGAAGCAATTGTGAATGCGAGTTGACTCATGATTTGGCTCTCTGTTTGTCTGTTGTTGGTGTATAGGAATGCTTGTGATTTTTGTACATTGATTTTGTATCCTGAGACATTGCTGAAGTTGCTTATCAGCTTAAGGAGATTTTGGGCTGGGACAATGGGGTTTTCTAGATATACAATCATGTCGTCTGCAAACAGGGACAGTTTGACTTCCTCTTTTCCTAATTGAATACCCTTTATTTCCTTCTCCTGCCTAATTGCCCTGGCCAGAACTTCCAACATTATCCAGGAGAATTTCCCCAATCTAGCAAGGCAGGCCAACGTTCAGATTCAGGAAATACAGAGAACGCCACAAAGATACTCCTCGAGAAGAGCAACTCCAAGACACATAATTGTCAGATTCACCAAAGTTGAAATGAAGGAAAAAATCTTAAGGGCAGCCAGAGAGAAAGGTCGGGTTACCCTCAAAGGGAAGCCCATCAGACTAACAGCGGATATCTCGGCAGAAACCCTACAAGCCAGAAGAGAGTGGGGGCCAATATTCAACATTCTTAAAGAAAAGAATTTTCAACCCAGAATTTCATATCCAGCCAAACTAAGCTTCATAAGTGAAGCAGAAATAAAATATTTTACAGACAAGCAAATGCTGAGAGATTTTGTCACCACCAGGCCTGCCCTAAAAGAGCTCCTGAAGGAAGCACTAAACATGGAAAGGAACAACTGGTACCAGCCACTGCAAAATCATGCCAAAATGTAAAGACCATAGAGACTAGGAAGAAACTGCATCAACTAACGAGCAAAATAACCAGCTAACATCATAATGACAGGATCAAATTCACACATAACACTATTAACTTTAAATGTAAATGGACTAAATGCTCCAGTTAAAAGACACAGACTGGCAAATTGGATAAAGAGTCAAGACCCATCAGTGTGCTGTATTCAGGAAACCCATCTCACGTGCAGAGACACACATAGGCTCAAAATAAAGGGATGGAGGAACATCTACCAAGCAAATGGAAAACAAAAAAAGGCAGGGGTTGCAATTCTAGTCTCTGATAAAACAGACTTTAAACCAACAAAGATCAAAAGAGACAAAGAAGGCCATTACATGATGGTAAAAGGATCAATTCAACAGGAAGAGCTAACTATCCTAAATATATATTCACCCAATACAGGAGCACCCAGATTCAGAAAGCAAGTCCTTAGAGACCTACAAAGAGACTTAGGCTCCCACACAATAATAATGGGAGACTTTAACATCCCATTGTCAACATTAGACAGATCCACGAGACAGAAGGTTAACAAGGATATCCAGGAATTGAACTCAGCTCTGCACCAAGCAGACCTAATAGACATCTACAGAACTCTCCACCCTAAATCAACAGAATAGACATTTTTTTCAGCACCACACCACACCTATTCCAAAATTGACCACATACTTGGAAGTAAAGCTCTCCTCAGCAAATGTAAAAGAACAGACATTATAACAAACTATCTCTCAGGCCACAGTGCAATCAAACTAGAACTCAGGATTAAGAATCTCACTCAAAACCACTCAACTACATGGAAACTGAACAACCTGCTCCTGAATGACTACTTGGTACATAATGAAATGAAGGCAGAAATAAAGATGTTCTTTGAAACCAACGAGAACAAAGACACAACATACCAGAATCTCTGGGACACATTCAAAGCAGTGTGTAGAGGGAAATTTATAGCACTAAATGCCCATAAGAGAAAGCAGGAAAGATCCAAAATTGACACCCTAACATCACAATTAAAAGAACTAGAAAAGCAAGAGCAAACATATTCAAAAGCTAGCAGAAGGCAAGAAATAACTAAAATCAGAGCAGAACTGAAGGAAATAGATACACAGAAAACCCTTCAAAAAATTAATGAATCCAGGAGCTGGTTTTTTGAAAGGATCAACAAAATTGATAGACCACTAGCAAGACTAATAAAGAAAAAAAGAGAGAAGAATCAAATAGATGCAACAAAAAATGATAAAGGGGATATCACCACCGATCCCACAGAAATACAAACTACCATCAGAGAATACTACAAACACCTCTACGCAAATAAACTAGAAAATCTAGAAGAAATGGATAAGTTCCTTGACACATACACTCTCCCAAGACTAAACCAGGAAGAAGTTGAACCTCTGAATAGACCAATAACAGGATCTGAAATTGTGGCAATAATCAATAGCTTACCAACCAAAAAGAGTCCAGGACCAAATGGATTCACAGCCGAATTCTACCAGAGGTACAAGGAGGAACTGGTACCATTCCTTCTGGAACTATTCCAATCAGTAGAAAAAGAGGGAATCCTCCCTAACTCATTTTATGAGGCCAGCATCATTCTGATACCAAAGCCGGGCAGAGACACAACCAAAAAAGAGAATTTTAGACCAATATCCTTGATGAACATTGATGCAAAATTCCTCAATAAAATACTGGCAAACCGAATCCAGCAGCACATTAAAAAGCTTATCCACCATGATCAAGTGGGCTTCATCCCTGGGATGCAAGGCTGGTTCAATATACACAAATCAATAAATGTAATCCAGCATATAAACAGAGCCAAAGACAAAAACCACATGATTATCTCAGTAGATGCAGTAAAGGCCTTTGACAAAATTCAACAACGCTTCATGCTAAAAACTCTCAATAAATTAGGTATTGATGGGACATATTTGAAAATAATAAGAGCTATCTATGACAAACCCACAGCCAATATCATACTGAATGGCAAAAACTGGAAGCATTCCCTTTGAAAACTGGCACAAGACAGGGATGCCCTCTCTCACCACTCCTATTCATATTGTTTTTTAATGGCTGCATAGTATTCCATGGTGTATATGTACCACATTTTCTTTATTTAGTCCATCTATGTTATGGGAAGTCAGAGACCCCGAACAGAGGGGCCAGCTGGAGCTGTGGCAGAGGAACATAAATTGTGAAGATTTCATCTTAATATGTACATTTATCAGTTCTCAAATAATACTTTTATAATTTCTTATGCCTGTCTTTTATCTCTTAATCCTGTTATCTTCGTAAGCTGAGGATGTGCGTCACCTCAGGACCACTGTGATAATTGTGTTAACTGTACAAATTGACTGTAAGACGTGTGTTTGAACAATATGAAATCAGTGCACCTTGAAAAAAAACAGAATAATAGCGATTTTTATGGAACAAGGGAAGACAACCATAAGGTCTGACTGCCCTGCGGGATTGGGCAAAAACGGCCATATTTTTCTTCTTGCAGAGTGCCTATAAGCAGGCATGCAAGTGGGAAACATATCACTAAATTCTTTTCCTAGCAAGAAATATTAATATTAATACCCTGGGAAAAGAATGCGTTCCTGGGGGGAGGTCTATAAATGGCTGCTCTGGGAATGTCTGTCTTGTGCAGTTGAGATAAGGACAGAGATAAGCCCTGGTCTCCTGCAGAACCCTCAGGCTAACTAGGGTTGGGAAAACTCAGCCCTGGTAAATTTGTGGTCAGACCGGTTCTCTGCTCCTGAACCCTGTTTTCTGTTGTTTAAGATGTTTATCAAGACAATACATGCACTGCTGAACATAGACCCTTATCAGTGGTTCTGCTTTTGCCCTTTGCCCTGTGATCTTTGTTGGACCCTTATCAGTTGTTCTGCTTTTGCCTTTTGCCCTGTGATCTTTCTTGGACCCTTATCAGTGGCTCTGCTTTTGCCCTTTGCCCTGTTCTCTCAGAAGCATGTGATCTTTGTTAGACCCTTATCAGTGGTTCTGCTTTTTGCTCTTTGAAGCATGTGATCTTTGTACCTACTCTGTTCTTACACCCCCTCCCCTTTTGAAACCCTTAATAAAAACTTGCTGGTCTGAGACTCAGGTGGGCATCATGGTCCTACCGACATGTGATGTCACCCCTGGTGGCCCAGCCGTAAAATTCCTCTCTTTATACTGTCTCTCTTTATTTCTCATCCAGCTGACACTTACAGAAAATAGAAAGAACCTACTTTGAAGTATTGGGGGCAGGTTCTCCCAATACACCATTGTTGGGCATTTAGGTTGATTCCATGTCTTTGCTATTGTGAACAGTGCTGCAATGAACATACACATACATGTGTCTTTGTGCTAGAGTTATTTATTTTCTTTGGGTAAGTATCAAATTGTATATGGGATTACTGAATTGAATGGTAGTTCTGTTTTAAGTTCTTTGAGAAATCTAAAAACTGCTTTTAATAGTGGATGAACAAGTTTACCCTCCTACCAGCAGTGCATTAGTATTCCTTTTCTCCACAGCCTCAGCAGCATCTATTATTTTTTGAATGTTTCATAATAGCCATTCTAACTGATTTGAGATGGGTATCTCATTGTGGTTTTGATTTGCATTTCTCTAATAATTGGTGATGTTAACATTTTTTATTTGCTTGTTGGCCACATGTATGTCTTCTTTTGAGAAGTATTTATTCATGTCCTTTGCCCACCTTTTTATGGGGTCGGTTTCTTCTTGTAAATTTGTTTAAGTTCCTTATAGATGCTGGATTTTAGACCTTCATTGGATGCATAGTTTGCAAATATTTTCTCCCATACTGTAGGTTGTCTGTTTACTCTGTTGATAGTTTCATTTGCTGTGCAGAAGCTCTTTAGTTTAATTAGATCCTGTTTGTCAATTTTTGCTTTTGTGGTAATTACTTTTGGTGTCTTCATCATGAAATCTTCACTAGGGTCTATGTCCAGAATGGTATTGCCTAGGTTTTCTACAAGGTTTTTATAGTTTTAGTTTTTACATTTAAGTCTTTAAGCCATCTTCAGTTGATTTTTGTATATGGTGAAAAGAAAGGGCCCAGTTTCAGGCTTCTGCATGTGGTTAGACAGTTATTCCAGCACCATTTATTGAATAGTGAGGCCTTTTTCCTTTGCATGTTTTTGTCAACTTTGTTAAAAATCAGATGGTTATACGTGTATGGCTTTATTTCTGGGTTCTCTATTCTGTCCCTTTGCTCTATGTGTGTGTTTTTGAATTAGTACCATGCTGTTTTGGTTACTGTAGCCTCATAGTATAGTTTGAAGCCAAATAGTGTGATGCCTTCAGCTTTTTTCTTTTTTGCTTAGGATTACTTTAGATATTTGGGTTCTTTTTTGGTTTCATGTAAATTTTAGAATAGTTTTTTTTTCTAATTCTGTGAAAAATGTCATTGGGAGTTTGATAGGAATAGCGTTGAATTGTAAATTGCTTATGACAGTATGGCCATTTTAACAATATTGATTCTTCCTATCCTTGAGGATAAAATGTTTTTCCATTTGATTGTAGTATTTATGATTTATTTCTAGGTATTTTTGATAGCTATTATAAATGAACTGCCTTCTTGATTTATTTTTTCCAATTTTATTATTGGTATATAGAAATGGTATTAATTTTTTGTATGTTGATTTTTTGTTCTACAACTTTACTGAATTTGTTTCATCAGTTCTAAGAGTTTTTTTGATGACATGTTTTGGTTTTTAAAAATAGAAAATCATGTGGTTTGCAAAGAGAGGCAATTTGACTTTCTCTTTTCCAATTTGGATGGTTATTTCTTTCTCTCACCTGATTGTTTTGGCTAGGATTTCCAGTACTATGTTCAATAGTAGAGCTGAATGTGGGTATCCTTGTTTTGTTCCAGTTCTTAGAGAAATGGTTTTCCATTTTTCCCCATTCAGTATGATGTCAGCTGTGAGTTTGTCATATAAGGTCTTATTATTTTGAGGTATGTTCATTCTATGGGTAGTTTGTTGAGAGTTTTAATCATAAAGGGAAGTTAATTTTTTTCACGTTTTTCTGCATTATTGAGATGACTATATAATTTTTGTTCTTCACTCCATTTGAAGACTGAAACAAAGGTTCAACCCCCCACCCCATCGACACACTAATGGACCCTTGGTATGGTTTGGCTATATCCCCACCCAAATCTCATCTTGAATTGTAGTTCCCATAATCCCCACATGTGGGAGGGGCCTGGTGGGAGGTAACTGAATCTTGGGGGTGGTTACCCCATGCTGCTGTTCTCATGATAGTGAGTGAGTTCTCACAAGATCTATGGTTTTATAAGGGGCTTTCCCCCCTTTTGCTTGGCACTTCTTGCTGCTGCCAAGTGAAGATGAACGTGTTTGCTTCTTCTTCTGCCATGGTTGTAAGTTTCCTGAGGCCTCCTCAGCTAGCCTGAACTGTGAGTCAATTAAACTTCTTTCCTTTATAAATTACCAAGACTTGGGTGTGTCTTTATTAGCATAAAATTAGTGTGAGAATGGACTAATACAACCCACTAGGCTAAAATACCCCAAAACCTTTGAGTTCCTGGCCATGATGAGACAGATTGGTTATATCCCACTCTTGGCTTCCCCTTACTTATTATTACCAGATTTTCTCAAAAGCCAGCTTGGGAGAACAAAAGACAGGAAAACACCTCCACTTATTTAATTTGACCACCTGACACCACTCCTTTTGTTTTCATGGTTCTAGCATTGCAGTTCTCCTTGTCTACAAAGCATTCCTTTTTGCTAAATGACTGCTGGCTATAGACTGGTTTTGACCAGTTTACTGAGTATGTACAGAGAGGTGGCTCTGTGCCCTTTGTTTCACCTTTCTTTAGGTGAAATTTGAAAATTGGGCCACTTTATGGGATCTCATATGTCATAAGGGATTTATTCTTTTTTATTTTTATTTTTGCTCACTGGATTATTTCAAAAGACTTGTCTTCACATTCTGATTTTTTTTTCTTACTGTATCTAGCCTATTGTTGAAACTTTCAAATGCATTGTGTATTTCATTCAATTAATTATTCTCTTCCAGGATTTCTGTTTGGTTCTGTTTTATATCTATCTCTGGTAAATTTCTCATTCATGTTCTGAATTGTCTTTCTGATTTCTTTGTATTGTTTTCCAGAATTCTCTTATATGTCACTGAGCTTCTTTAGCATCAAAATTTTGAATTCTTTCTTCTGAGATTTCATAAATTTCTTTTTGATTAGGATCTGTTGCTGGAGAATTATTGTGTTGCTTTGGAAGTGTCATATATCCTTGTTTTTTCTTCTTCCTATGTCCTTACTTTGATACCTGCACATCTGATTTAACAGTTGCTTTTTACATTTTTTTAAATTTGTCTTTGGAGAGAAGGATTTTTTCCTGAAGATATATCTATGGTGCTGCTTGGGTATTACACTTTAGCTTTGATTCTGGGTGCATTTAATAGTGTAGTCTCTGTATTATTTCTTTGGCTGTAAACAGTGTCAATGACGTCTGTAATTTCCTCAGTGGCTCAAGGTGTAGTTGTTAGTGAAGGTTTTGCTGAAGTTTTGCTGGGGACTGGACAACCAGGTAGACCAGTCTTCAGACACCAGTGGTAGCAGCGGTGGGCTGAGTGTGCCTGTCTTTGGGCCCCAGAGCACCAGCATTAGTGGGTCGAGGCAGGCCAATTCTTGGGCCTCCAGGTGGCTTGCTCTATTGTTGGGAATATCAGTGGAGGGTTGGGAGGTGGGGTGGGTTCTTGAGCCCCTAAAGAGTGGGTGTTGCTTGGGCAATGGCAGTAGCAGTGGTGAAACAGCACTTTGGGACCCAGGTGGTCCCCACTGGTGTTAACAGTGTTAACAGACCCACACGTGGCATATGGAGGTAGGTGCTAGCTGTGGTGGCAGTGGCAGGTTGAGTGGGTCCAGCTTTAGACTCTAGGAGAAGAGCTCAGATGCCACTAGTAGTGGACTAGACTGTGAGAGTCCCAGGTTCCTGGATGCTGTGCTCAGGTACTTGGGATGGGGGCAACCAGGCCTGCCTGTGTCCTCAGGCCCCTTGTTGGTGTGTAAACACATTGGCTATGGTGTGCAGTAGTAGGGTAAGCCCAAGGCCTCTGACAGAATGCTCAGGTGGAGGAGGCAGTGGGTGTGCTACTGTAGAGGGTGGAGTTGCTTTTCCTGGGGGCAGACATAGGCAGGCAGCTGGGGGTGTGGGCTTTTAGTGTACCTCAGCCCATAGCAGTCTACACCTACAGCAGTTGCAGGCAGCAGAACTCATCCTCAGGATATGTGAGAATGTGCAGCCCTCTGCAGGGGTGGGGCAGAATCGCGCTGGTGGCTGCCATATTGGCCCAGGTTGCAGGACAAGATGCAGTCTGGTGTGGGCTGGGCTCTCAAAATGGCATCTTGTTGCTGTGCCCAGGACTTCAGGGCTTGTGGGACCCAGCATGACCTCTCTTTCTGAAGCAATGCCTTTGTGTGGTTTCCAGGGACTCCCTATGTTATTCTCGGGGCCTGCAAGGGTCATGCAGCTCTCCATTGGCTAGGATTATAGGATTTCTTGGTGGGAATGTGGACCACTGGAAATCTCTCATTTACATTTTCCCTGCATTAGGGAGTCTTTTCTGGTTCCCCACTGATCTTGGCTAAGCAGACTGCCTTGCTCCCTGCCTTTCCCTTGCTTTAGGTGTTTGTCACCACTTCTCTGTTGAATTCCAGTGTTTTCTCTTGGATGATCTATTCAAAGAGTGATTATCTCTTCACTATTTTGGTTATTTTAATTAAAGGAGGTGAGTAAGAGATGCTTCTAATCAGCCATATTGGCCCCTATTTTGTTGCACTTTTGACGGATAGAATTTGTAAGCCCAGGCATCAGATAAAAATTTAACATTAATGACTTGAATGGTCAGATGACAGAGCTTGGGAAAAAAAGAGCAGCTGGAAATTTGATGGGCACCTACATGCAAGGGAACTAAATGCAGACAGGCTGAACCCTGTTCTCCAAACTGATAATAAACTGCCCAAATTATTAAATTATTGACAAATTCACAATCATGAAAGAGTTCCCCTACACGCCAGGTTAAAAGAACAGCAGCTGGAAGCCAAATGAATTGAACAAATAGATCACGTGTTGCAAAACAAACGGAAAAGAGTCTACTATATGCTTTATAGTATAAGTATAGAGAAGACAGCTATCTACCACAACATAAAACCAACAACCATCAGAAGAATATAACAGATTTCAGAGTCATTACAATTATTACCTATAATGTCCTATTTTTGAACAAAAGTCTCTAAAAAAATGAAAAGAAGCAGTAAAGTATAAGCCATGTCAATAAAAAATGGTGGTCAATTGAGACCCACTCCAAATAACAATTGTTGGATTTAGGAGACAACGATTTCAAAGAAGGTATTGTAATATGTTCAAAGGCTTAAAAAATGCATAAACAAACCAACATAGATCTAATCAGAAAAATAGAAACTATATAAAAAAGGATAAACTCTATAGCTGAAAAAATACAGTCACTGCAAAGATAAAATAACTAGATGGGTTTAAAAGTAGTTTACAGACGGCAAGCAGGAAAAAATTAATTAAATATATAATGTCTGTTCAAATGTTTCATCTGTTTTTAACATTGGGCTGTTTTACTTCTTATTTATTTATAAGAGTTCTTTGTATATTCTTGTTCAAGAGTTGGCAAGATCTTAAAGGCCAGAGAGAAATATCCTGGGCTCATTGGCCAAACAATCTGTCATAACTACTCATCTCTGTCACTAAAATGCACAAGCAATCATATATAATATGTAAACAAATGGGCATGGTTGTATTTCAATAAAACTTTATTTAAACAAACAGATGGTCAGCGAAAGTTTGTAATTTTTTGTTCTCTTTTCTGAACATAAGGCCTATGTGAGATATATGTACTGCAAATATTATATCCTTTTCTGTGTTGGTTTGCTGTCACTTGAAGAACAAACGTTTTAAATTTTGATGAAGTCTAATGTATCAGTCAGCATGGGCTACCATAAAAAATACTTAGACTGGGGGCTTAAACAATAGACATTTATTTTCTTATAATTCTACAGAAACAGGATGCCAGCATGGTCAGTTTCTGAGGTCTCTTCTTTAGGGTTATGATCTCATCAGGCCAGGGCCCCATTCTCATGACCTCCTATATCCCCAATTACCTCCCCAAAGCCTCATCTTCATATACCATCATATTGGAAGTTAAGGCTCCAACATGTGAATTTTAGGGGACACAAAAATTCAATTCATAACCAAAGTATAATTTTTTTTGCCTCTCTTATGGTTTGTGGTTCTTGTGTAATGCCAAAAAATCTTATTTCCCAAATGCAAAAATTTTCTCCTATGTTTATATCTAGAAATTTTTTTTTATTTTTTTGCATTTACATCTATGGTACATTTTGAGTTAATTTTCTTTATGTTGTGAGTTAAGGGTAGGTGTTATATTTTTCATGTGTATATGCAGTTGTTCTAGTAACATTTGTTGCAGACTCTTTCTATTCTTAGAATTTCTTTTAACATTTATCTGAAATCAATTGATCATTTATACTTGTGTCTATTTTTACATCATTTTTTCTGCTCCTTTGAACTATATATCTAACCTTTCACCAATATAACAGTGTTGACTGCTGTAGGCTTATGAAAAGTCTTGAAATCATGTCTTGCAAATATTAAAACTTTTTCCTTCCATTCCAAAATGGTTTTATTTATTCCAGCTAGTAGTCATTTTCCTTCCATTCTAAAATGGTTTTATTTATTCCAGCTAGTAGGCATATCTATGTAAATCTTATATGTAGTTTATCAATCCCTACAAAAGTTTCATGGACTACATAGGTCATTTTTTTGAGAATTAACAATTTTTTTGTAAATTTATTTGTTTATTCGTGTGTGTGTATATATACATATATGTGTGTGTATATATATATATATATATTTTTTTTTTTTTTTTTTTGAGACAGAAGTCTTGCTCTGTTGCTCAGGCTGGAGTGTAGTGGCATGATCTTGGCTCACTGCAACTTCTGTTTTTCAGGTTCAAGAGATTCTCGTGCCTCAGCCTCTGGAGTAGCTGGAGCTACAAGTGTGCGCCACCAAGCCCAGCCAATTTATGTATTTTTAGTAGAGACGGGGTTTCACCAAGTTGGCCAGGCTAATCTGGAACTCCTGACCTCAAGTGATCCACCTGCCTTGGCCTCCCAAAGTGCTGGGATTACAGGAGTGAGTCACCATGACTGGCCCATTTATATATTTTTAAAACTTTTATTTTAGCTTCAGCTACATGTGCATGTTTGTTATATGGGTAAACTCATGTCACAGGGGTTTGCTGTACACATTATTTTGTCACCCCAGTACTAAGCCTGGTACCCAATAGCTTTTTTTCTGCTTCTCTTCCTCCTTCCGCCTTCCACCTTAAGGTAGCCCCCAGTGTCTGTTGTTCTCCTTTTTTGCATCCATGTGTTCTCATCATTTAGCTTCTACCTATAAGTGAGAACATGCGACATTTGGTTTTCTGTTCTTGTGTTAGTTTGCTAAGGATAATGGCCTCCAGCTCCATCCATGTTTCTGCAAAGGACATGATCTTGTTCTTTTTTAGAACTGCATAGTATTTCGTGGTGTATATGTACCACATTTGCTTTATCCAGTCTACGATTGATGGGCATTTAGGTTGATTCCATGTGTATTAGTCTGTTCTCACACTGCTAATAAAGACATATCTGAGACTGGGTAATTTATAAAGGAAAGAGGTTTAATTGACTCAAAATTCCACATGACTGGGGAGGCCTCACAATCATGGTGGAAGCAAAGGAGGAGCAAAGTCATGTCTTACAAGGTGGCAGGCAAGAGAGAATGACAACCAAGCAAAAGTGGAAACCCCTTATAAAACCATCATATCCTATGAGACTTATTCACTACCATGAGAATAATATAGGGGAAACCACCCCCATGATTTAATTATCTCCCACTGGGACCCTCTCACAAAACATGGGAATTATGGGAGCTACAATTCAAGATGTGATTTGGGTGAGGACACAGTCAAACCATATCACCATGTCTTTGCTATCATGACTAGTGCTGCAATGAATACACATGGGGATGTGTCTTTATGATAGAATAGTTTATATTTCTTTGGGTATGTGTTAGTCCATTTTCATACTGCTCTGAACACATACCCGAGACTGAGTAATTTATAAAGAAAACTGTGAGTTTAATAAACTCACAGTTCCACATGGCTGGGGAGGCCTCCCAGTCATGACAGAAGGCAAAGGAGGAACAAAAGCGTGTCTTACATGGTGGCAGGCAAGAGCAAATGTGCAGAGGAGCTGCCCTTTATAAAATGATCAGATCTAGTGAGACTTATTCACTATCACAAGAACTGCATGGAAAAAACCTGCCTCCGTGATTCAATGACCTCCCACAAGATCCCTCCCATGACATATGGAGATTATGGGAGCTACAATTCAGGATGAGATTTGGGTGGGGGCACAGCCAAACCATATCAAGGTATATACCCAGAAATGGGATTTCTGGGTCAAATGGTAGTTCTGTTTTACCTCTTTGAGGAATTACCACACTGCTTTCCACAATGGCTGAACTAATTTACACTCCCACCAACAGTGTATAAGCATTCCCTTTTCTCTGCAACCTCACCAGCATCTGGTTTTTTTGAATTCTTAATGATTGCCATCCTGACTGGTGTGAGATGGTATCTCATTGTGGGTTTGATTTGTGTTTCTCTAATGATCAATGATATTGAGCTTTTTTTCCATATGCTTGTATGTCTTCCTTTGAAAAGTGTCTGTTCATGTCCTTTGCACACATTTTTATGGGCTTTTTGTTTTCATCTTGTAAGTTTGTGTAAGTTTATTATAGATTCTGGATATTAGACCTTTGTTGGATGCATAGTTTGCAAATATTTTCTCCCGTTCTGTAGGTTGTCTGTTTACTCTGATGATAGTTTCTCTTTTTGTGCAGAAGCTCTTTAGTTTAATTGGATCCCATTTGTCAATTTTTGCTCTTGTTGTATTTGCTTTTGCCATTTCCGTCATGAAATCTCTGTCAGCTCCTATGTCCAGAATGGTATTGCCTAGGTTATATTCCAGGGTTTTTATAGTTTTGCATTTAAGTCTTTAATTCATCTTAAGTTTTTTTTAATGTAGTGTAAGAAAGGGGTCCAGTTTCAATCTTCTGCATATCATTAGCCAGTTATCCCAGCACCATTTATTGAATAGACAGTCCTTTCCCCATTGCTTGTTTTTGTCAGCTTTGTCAAAGATCAGATGGTTGTATGTGTGGCCTTATTTGTGGGTTGTCTATTCTGTTCTGTTGGTCAATGTGTCACTTTTGTACCAGTTCCAGGCTGTTTTGGCTACTGTAGTCCTGTAGTATAGTCTGAATTCGAGTATTACAACGTGATGACTCCAGCTTTGTTCTTTTTGCTTAGGATTGCCTTGGCTATTTGGGCTCTTTTTTGATTACATATGAATTAATTTTTTTCTAGTTCTGGGGAGACTATCATTGGTAGTTTAATAGGAATAGCACTGAATCTGTAAATTGCTTTGTGCAGCATGGCCAATTTAATAATACTGATTTTTTCCTATCCATGAGCGTGGAATGTTTTTGCATTTGTTTGTGTCATCTCTGATTTCTTTGAATAGTGCTTTGTAATTCTCATTGTAGAAATCTTTCACCTCCCTGGTTAGCTATATTCCTAGGTATTTTATGCTTTTTGTGAATGGGAATGCCTTTCTGATTTGGCTCTCAGCTTGGCTGTTGTTAGCATATAGGAATGCTAGTGATTTTTGTATGTTGATTTTGTATCCTGAGACCATGCTGAAGTTATCAAATTAGGGAGCTTTTGGGCTGAGACGTTGGGGTTTTCTAGATACAGAATCATGTCATCTGCAAACAGGAATGGTTTGACTTCCTTTCTTCCTATTTGAATGTCCTGTATTTATTTCTCTTGCCTCATTGCTCTTGCCAGGACTTCCGATACTGTGTTGAATAGGAGTGGTGAGAGAGGGCATCCTTATTTGTGACAGTTTTCAAGGGCAATGCTTCCAGCTTTTGCCTGTTCAGTATGATGTTGGCTGTGGGTTTCATAGTTGGCTGTTTTCATTTTGAGGTTGCTATTTGTCCGCTCAGATATTCCATTTCTTCCTGATTCAGTCTTGGGAGAGTGTATGTGTCCAGGAATTTATCCATTTTTTTCCCAGATTTTCTAGTTTGTGGACATAGAGGTGTTCATAGAAGTCTCTGATGATTATTTGTATTTCTATGTGGTCAGTAGTAATATTTCCTTTGTTGTTCCTAATTGTGTTTATTTGAACGTTCTCTAACACTACAAAATACTTAGAAAATGAACATTTGTTGAATGAATGAAACTGTTTACTGTTTTATATTTGCAGTTTAGTATTCTTTAACCTGAAGTATCAAAGTAAACTTAGAACCAATATTTGGCTGTGAGATAATGCATTATATTATACTCCCATTAACTATCAAATGAAAGTGCACCACCCCTCAGACAAAATGAAAAAAATTGATCATCTGAGAATTGACAACCTCTTAAAGACTATGTGTGTTTTTGTGAGTTGAACTGCTCAATATTCACTTGAGGATGTGATAATGATTCCTGCTGCTTTTAATTCACATTTGAGTCTCTAGACTCTTCAGAGATTTATCCCCAAAGGCAAAAAATAATACAGTGTGGCTACTATATAATAACAAGGAATCTAAATTTATAAGTGTAAGATGATTACATTTTTTGTTTGTTTGTTTTGAGTTGGAGTCTCACCCTGTCGCCCAGGCTGGAGTGCAGTGATGCGATCTCAGCTCACTGCAACCTCCAGTTCCCGGGTTCAAGCGATTCTCTTGCCTCAGCCTCCCAAGTAGCTGGGACTACTGGCGTGCACCACTGAGCCTAGCTAATTTTTGTATTTTTAGAGATGGGGTTTCACCATGTTGGCCAGGCTGGTCTCAAACTCCTGACCTCGTGATCTGCCCGACTCGGCCTCCAAAAGTGCTGAGATTACAGGCTTGAGCCACCGCGCCCGGCCAGATGATTAAATTTTTATTTCATGAGGTAAGACTTTCGATTTGTGGGTGAATCTGGTGTAATGAGTTTCATTTGAGAACACTTTATTCTCTAAAGTTGTATGTGTACACACAAGTCATAATTAAGAAACAAAACAGATGTAATCTTGCAGTCAGCTAGCAAGTAACTTTAGTGAATTAAATTAAGTTTCTGCCATCAATTTAGTGTGAGTTAACAGGCATGATTCAATTTACCAAGATTCTTCATTTATCCACCCATAAGAACAGAAACTCACGTGGTCTTTCACTGCCGTCTAAACTTGGCACTCAGCTGTAATGCTAATATAAATTAATTAAGTGTGAGTCTCACTTTGTCACCCAGGCTGGGAGTGCAGTGCTGTGATCTTGGCTCACTGCGACCTCTGCCTCCCAGGTTCAAGTGATTCTCCTGCCTCAGGCTCCCGAGTAGCCGGGATTATAGGCATGCACCACTATGCCAGCTAATTTTCGTATTTTTAGTACAGATGGGGTTTCACGGTGTTGGCCAGGCTGGCCTCGAACTCTTGACCTCAAGTGATCCACCCATCTCAGCCTCCCAAAGTGCTAGGATTACAGATGTGAGCCACCATGCCTGGCCCAAGACACTTTTTTTTTGGAGACAGGGTCTCACTCTATCACTGAGGCTAGAGTGTAGTGGTGTAATCATGGCTCACTGCAGCCTTGACCTCCCAGGCTCAGGTGATCCTCCCACCTCAGCCTCCTAAGTAACTGAGACTACAGGTGCACACCACCGTGCCTGGCTCATTTTTAGAGATGAAGTTTTGCCATGTTGCACAGGTTGGTCTCAAATTTCTGGACTCCAGTGATCTGTCCACCTCGGCCTCCCAAAGTATTGGGATTACAAATGTGAGCCACCATGGCTGGCCCAGCTAGACATTTCGGAGAAAGATAAGGCTATAAGGCCAGAAAACTTGGAGATGAGGGTCAAGCTGGCCATCAACAGAGTGGCCCTTGGTAAACTTTTTATATTTCTAGGCTGAAACTTTGTTCTTCTGTATATTATGTCCAAAATAATATTATTTGATTCTATAATACTTCAATTTGTTAACATTGTTACACTAGGAAAAGATTTGGTTTGACTAAATATCTTAATTATGTTCTGAATATTAATCATACAACATTTTGCATAATGGTTAAATTGGTATTTCAACTTACTTGATATAATAATATTTTAATTGGAAATAATAAAAGTCATTAATCAATTTATACTAGGTGACTTCATTCATAAGCATAACTTGAAATTCCCATTTCTTCCCTGTCCTATGAAGAAAATTGTATGTCTCTTTTAAAAAACTAGTGTTGTTTAACTGATAAACATTGTAAACTATGTAACTAGCTAGGCGTCTCTTTTATACATCAGTTGTACATTTCAGAGAACTGAAATGTTAATCTGTTATCTACTGATTTTCAAGTGTACCAGATTTCATGGTAAAAATTCTCCAACTATGCTATAAATGTAATGGTTTTACAATTTTATACAAATTATACAATTTTATACAAATTACATTAATAACATAGTTATTATGGAAATTGACTGGATTCAAACTATGTGGGATTCTGATCCAGATTCTACCACTTGCTGTGTAACCTTAGGTAAATTACTTAACATTTGCAAACTTAGTTTCCCTATCTATAAAATGGTAATAATAAAAGTGCTTCATATTATTTTATGGAAATTAAAATACGTATCTCTGTATATATAATGTATATAATACAATAATATGTTATATATTATATGCATATAGATAAAATTCTTAACCCTGAGCCAGTAATTTGATAGGCATTCAGTAAATGTTAGCTAATATTTGTGTTCATTAATCTTACATTAATATATTTTAATCATTTTTGTTATATGTACCATACCTTTTATTATTCTTATAAGTCTTATGTTTTAAAATCTTTCTCTTTAAAGCAACTTTAAATATATTTCATTAAAAATACAAATTGAAAAGGATATACATTATTTGAAGCAATTTTTTGGTGTTCTAAAACAGATTTTAAAATATAGAAAGACTGATTACACATAAATACATAAACAATGAAACCCTAAGGTAAAAAAAAAAAAGTCTGAACTTTCCTTGAATGATACATCTGTTCATATTAACCTTCATGTATATATTAATGAAGATGAAGCCATCAAATTTATAACATTTTAATGTGCTGTTCTCATTAGGGTTCATTTAGTCAGCAGCTACTTCGTCTCATGAATTCCCTGAAGGACGGGAATCACACCGCTCTGACGGGGTTCATCCTATTGGGCTTAACAGATGATCCAATCCTTCGAGTCATCCTCTTCATGATCATCCTATCTGGTAATCTCAGCATAATTATTCTTATCAGAATTTCTTCTCAGCTCCATCATCCTATGTATTTCTTTCTGAGCCACTTGGCTTTTGCTGACATGGCCTATTCATCTTCTGTCACACCCAACATGCTTGTAAACTTCCTGGTGGAGAGAAATACAGTCTCCTACCTTGGATGTGCCATCCAGCTTGGTTCAGCGGCTTTCTTTGCAACAGTCGAATGCGTCCTTCTGGCTGCCATGGCCTATGACCGCTTTGTGGCAATTTGCAGTCCACTGCTTTATTCAACCAAAATGTCCACACAAGTCAGTGTCCAGCTACTCTTAGTAGTTTACATAGCTGGTTTTCTCATTGCTGTCTCCTATACTACTTCCTTCTATTTTTTACTCTTCTGTGGACCAAATCAAGTCAATCATTTTTTCTGTGATTTCGCTCCCTTACTTGAACTCTCCTGTTCTGATATCAGTGTCTCCACAGTTGTTCTCTCATTTTCTTCTGGATCCATCATTGTGGTCACTGTGTGTGTCATAGCCGTCTGCTACATCTATATCCTCATCACCATCCTGAAGATGCGCTCCACTGAGGGGCACCACAAGGCCTTCTCCACCTGCACTTCCCACCTCACTGTGGTTACCCTGTTCTATGGGACCATTACCTTCATTTATGTGATGCCCAATTTTAGCTACTCAACTGACCAGAACAAGGTGGTGTCTGTGTTGTACACAGTGGTGATTCCCATGTTGAACCCCCTGATCTACAGCCTCAGGAACAAGGAGATTAAGGGGGCTCTGAAGAGAGAGCTTGTTAGAAAAATACTTTCTCATGATGCTTGTTATTTTAGTAGAACTTCAAATAATGATATTACATAGAACCCTATCTCTTCTCTTGAGAATACTCAATGCACGTGTAGATACAGATTTAGTGTTTGCTTTCTTGACAGTGTTGAAAGTTTCATGTAGAATCTACCACATCTTTTCTTCTCCCCATGTACCTAATTTTCAAACAGTTTCTAGAACTTAATAAGCATACTTGCATATTTAAAATGGAGAGATAAAGAAAAAATTAATGAATTAATGGATGGCTGAATGAAGCATTTGTTCCTGCTTGAACTGCTGACTCTGCTGACTTTGAATCCTGGCCACTGATCAGCTGAATGCTTCTGCCTGATTCAAGTGACTGAATGTTTAGGTGAGATCCTGCTATAACAGAGACAGGCTTTTACAACAAACCCATCCTCAGCACATCTACATCACTTCCTTGACACTTTTATAACCTAGATTAGCAACTAGAATCTCAGCCTAGTTTACTAAAAGGTTTGAATTCACACTTTACTAAATAGTTGCTCCTTTATGCATTTGCATGGTTGGAGAGCTAAAAGATCTAGAAGTCAAATGTTAGTAATAGTAGTAACAGGATTAAACTGTCTACTACATTCTGGGCACTGTTATCACTGTTTACAAGTAAAGTATTAACCTAATTATTTCTTGGAATAACTCTTTAAAGTTTTTTTAAAAATTATTGTATTACAAAGGATGTAACTGAGGCACGTAAGGTTAAGCAAAAGATCAATGGCACAAATATTCTCATAATACTTTGGCTTTTTTTAAGGCACATACTTCCTGTGGAGTGAAGGGCAATTTGAGAACACTTCACCATGAACTTTCATTTGTCTCTGACACATTTCTTTCTAGCAAACCCTTTCTGTTCACAGTAAGTATAGAGACTTCTATATCTGGATATGGCAGGCTAATTTGTATTACACCAACTTTGTGGCATGAAATACATAAGAAACTGCATATTTCTACATGTTTGAAGGCATAGATTTTTGATTACCTTGATGCTGAAGTAGCCCCATTTCTTCCAGGCCCTTCCTCTTATTACCAAAAAATCCCTATATGTAGCACAAAAACAAGTAGGAAGACTTTCAAAGGTGGAATAAAAAGGGTTAACTGCCTAGGAACTATTGGACTTGAAAAACAACATAGCAATGAAGTTTTGAGGTTTCCTTATTGCTTCCACATACCCAGGACAGGATCCTTTAGAAAATTCCAACTTAGGACTGCCAACAGACACAGACAAAAGCAAAAAACAAAAAACAACTGTAAGAAAAGACTGTTCTCTCCTGGTCAAAGAACTGGGAAAAGGGTGGCCTGGAGAGAAAAGAAAACATTTAGGCACTTCCTGCCTTACTCTAGACAAAAACCAATGGAAAAATTATGTTTCAGTGGGGCCAATCAGGGAGCCTGTTTTCCAACTGAACTGGGATCCACTTGCCCTGCACAATAACGCCAAACATCTACACCAGGTTTATAGCAGGAGAAAGGAGAGCATTTATTTGCAGAGTGCCAAGCAAGGAGAATCAAGCAGCCCTTGCTCAAGTCCCGATCTTTCCAATGGCTTGCAAGTAAGGATTTTTAAAGGTGGGGAGGCAGAGTTGACAGGCAAAGTCATAAATCGGAATATGGAGGCAATACATTGGTTTGACCTAAAAGGGTGGCAGATCTTGAAGTGGAGATAGGGAACAGATCATAGGTGGACTCGAAGATTTTCTGATTTGCAGTTGGTTCAGGAGGCAAAACTTTGTTTAAAACTTTGGGATTAGCAGAAAAGAATATTAGTTCTGGCCTTGGAGTGTGACCCCTCCCATGCCCATCAGGAAGAAATTTAGAGCAAAGCATGGCTGTGGTCAGACTTCAGTCCTCATTTCCTCCTTATCTGAGGTCTATGTGCCAGCAGATGGAATTTTTCATCTGGTGGGGGTCCAGGTTTCTGAAAAACAACCCAGGGACATATGTTGTTAAGATGCTATCTTAAGTTTCTACAGGAGAACCAAACATCCCGTAATTCTAACTTCCTTGGCTATTGTTTTACGCCACTATTACTTTCTTTCATATCAAGTTTCTCATTTACTTCTCAGAGCTAGCTAGGTGTCTGAAATTTCCCTTGAAAAAACTCAATTTTTTTTTCTGTTATTTCTATGCTTGAGGGGGCCCATGGATCCCTAAGAGGAGTCCCTGTTCCATCTCATGCTGATCTTCACCTTGCCCCGACTCTGATTCCCCTGCCAGGGTAATGTCAGCAGGGTTCAGTGGAGAAAGGAGCCTCCACTGTCACCTGGCAGCAACAAGACTTAATGAGATGGTGTGAGGTAGGGCTAGCTGGTATTCTACAGCCCCCATCATGACTCTCCTGCTCCAATGTGAGTGGTGGTCCAGTGAGGAGCTGAGCTTCCAACCCTCCCTGCAATGAGGTAGTGTGAACCAGCTAGCCACCTCACCTTTCCTTAGGGTCAATTGGTCCCAACAGGAAGCAGGACCTGAAAGGTAAGGAGGCATACAAATCAATGCCCTTCACTGGGATGAAGTCAACAGAGCAGTGGGGAGCTGAACATTCCCCTCACCCATCTGGAAGAAAGTAGTATGAGTCAGCTCTCCATTTTCAGCAGACTGGAACATACCTGGAAGTTTCAGCTACAGCTCAACAAGGATGACTGCTGAAAAAGACTGGGCACGATTCAGAGATTTAGAGTCTCATAATATGATATTCAGAATGTCCATGATATGGTCAAATATCAATTTTCATTCCAAGGAAAACACAACTTGAATGAGAAAAGGCAATACATGCCAACACTAAGACTAAGATGAAGCGGATATTGAAATTTTCTAACAAAGATTTAAAGCAGCCATAAAAAATGATTCAAGAAGCAATAATTAATTTTCTTGAAAGAAATAAAAATAGAGAATTTCAGCAAATAAATAGAAGTTACAAATAAGAACCAAATGGAAATTATAAAACTGCAAAACATACTCATAGAAATATTAAAAAACAACAAACTTGCTGGATGAACTCAGTAGCAGAATAGAGATACAGAGGACAAAATCAGTGAACTTGAATAAAGATGAATAGAATTTACCTGTTCTGAACAATAAACAAAATAGATTGGAACAATAAAAAAGAACAGAACACATGAACCTATGAGACAGTAAAAGAGAGCTAATATTTATATCCTGAGAATCTCAGAAGGAAAGGGGTATTCAATAAGTAATCAAAGAAGTAATGATTGAAAACATTCCAAATTGGTCAAAGATATATAGAGCTACAGATTCAGGAAGGTGAGCAAATCTCAGATAGGATAAACCCAAGGAAATCCACAACAAGACACATCCTAATTAAACTTTTGAAAAATAAAGACAGAAAAATCTTGAAAGCAGCCAGACGGAAAGGACATATTACTTAGAAGAGAAAAGCATTTTGAAAGACAATGAGTTTCTCATCCAAAACTATAAAACCAGAAAGAAGTGGTACAACATTTTTCTTCTGTTTTATGAGTTAAAAAATTGTATATGTTTAAGTTATACACCATATTTTGTTACCCATGTACATAATATAACTGTAACAATTAAGCAAGTTATCACATGCATCATCTTACATAGTTATCTTTTTTTTTCTTGGTTGGAGCACCTAAAACCTACTCTCTTGGCAGAATGATGGTTACCAGAAGCTGGGAAGAGTAGTGAAGGTGGGTGGAAGGGGACATGTTTAATGGGTATAAAAATATAGTTAAACAGAATGAATAGGATCTAGTATTTGACAGCACAACAGGGTAACTATAGTCAACAATAATTTACTGTACATTTTAAAATAAAACTTAAAAAGTAGAATTGGAATCTGTAGCACAAAGAAATGATAAATGCTTAATGTGATGAATACCCCATTTACCCTGATATGATTATTACACATTGTATGCCTGTATCAAAATATCTAATATATTCCATAAATATAAACACCTACTATGCACCCATAAAAGTGAAAAATAAAGAAACAAAAAAGTCTACTCCCTTAACAAATTTTGTGGGTATAATATTATTAGCTGTAGTCTTCCTATTGTACATTAGATTGCTCAACTTATCCTAAACAGCTGCAACATTTTAGCCTTTGACCAACATCTGCCATTACCTACTACACCCTCCTCCTGGTACCCACCAATCTGCTCTCTGTTTCTGTGTATTTGACATTGTAAAAAGATTTCGTATATATAAATGAGATCATGCAATACTTTTCTTTCCGTGTTTGGCTTATTTTGCTTAGCATAATGTCCTCAGGACCATCCATGTTGTGGCAAATGGCAGGATCTCCTTCCTTTAAAAGGCTGAATAATATTCCATTGTGTGCATGTGTGTGTAGTGTGTGTGTGTCTGTATGTATATAATATATATTTAAAAGGCTGAATATTTAATATGTATATTTAAAAGGCTGAATAATATTCCATTGTGTGTGTGTGTACACAGACACACACACAAACACACACACCATTTTGTTTATCCATTTATGGTGGCTCAGGTGTCTCCATGAGGCACTGATTTTATTTCCTTTGAGTATATACCCAGCAAAGGGACTTTTGGGTCATATGTAGTTCTATTTTTAATTTTTTGAGGAACTTTCTTACTGTTTCCAAAATGTCTACACCAGTTTAGAATCCTACCAACAGTGCACAAGGTTCCTTTTTCTCCATACCCTCACAAACACTTGTTATCACTTGTCTTTTATAATAGCCATCCTAATGGGTATGAGGTGATATCTCACTGTGGTTTTGATTTGTATTTCCTTGATGAATAGCAATATCAACAAGTCTGTTTTTTTTCTTTTTTTTAAATTATACTTTAAGTTCTAGGGTACATGTGCACAACGTGCAGGTTTGTTACTATGTATACATGTGCCATGTTGGTGTGCTGACCCATTAACTTGTCATTTACATTAGGTATATCTCCTAATGCTATCCCTCCCCACTACCCCCACCCCACGACAGGCCCTAGTGAGTGATGTTCCCCTTCCTCTGTCCAAGTGATCTCATTGTTCAATTCCCACCTATGAGTGAGAACATGTGGTGTTTAGTTTTCTGTCCTTGTGATAGTTTGCTGAGAATGATGGTTTCCAGCTTCACCCATGTCCCTACAAAGGACATGAAATCTTTTTTTATGGCTGCATAGTATTCTATGGTGTATATGTGCCACATTTTCCTAAACCAGTCTATCATTGATGGACATTTGGGTTGGTTCCAAGTCTTTGCTATTGTGAATAGTGCTGCAATAAACATACGTGTGTATGTGTCTTTATAGCAGGATGATTTATAATCCTTTGGGTATATACCCAGTAATGGGATTGTTGGGTCAAATGGTATTTCTAGTTCTAGATCCCTGAGGAATCGCCACAATGTCTTCCACAATGGTTGAACTAGTTTACAGTCCCACCAACAGTGTAAAAGTGTTCCTACTTCTCCACATCCTCTCCAGCACCTGTTGTTTCCTGACTTTTTAATGATCACCATTCTAACTGGTGTGAGCTGGTATCTCATTGTGGTTTTGATTTGCATTTCTCTGATGGCCAGTGATGATGAACATTTTCTCATGTGTCTGTTGCCTGCATAAATGTCTTCTTTTGAGAAGTGTCTGTTCATATCCTTTGCCCACTTTTTGATGGGGTTGTTTGTTTTTTTCTTGTAAATTTGTTTGAGTTCTTTGTAGATTCTGGATATTAGCCATTTGTCAGATGAGTAGATTGCAAAAATTTTCTCCCATTCTGTAGGTTGCCTGTTCAGTCTGATGGTAGTTTCTTTTGCTGTGCAGAAGCTCTTTAGTTTAATTAGATCCCATTAGTCAATTTTGTCTTTTGTTGCCATTGCTTTTGGTGTTTTAGACATGAAGTCCTTGTCCATGCCTATGTCCTGAATGGTATTGCCTAGGTTTTCTTCTAGGGTTTTTATGGTTTTAGGTCTAACATTTAAGTCTTTAATCCATTTTGAATTAATTTTCATATAAGGTGTAAAGAAGGGGTCCAGTTTCAGCTTTCCTCATATGGCTAGCCAGTTTTCCCAGCACCATTTATTAAATAGGGAATCCTTTCCCCATTGCTTGTTTTTGTCAGGTTTGTCAAAGATCAGATGGTTGTAGATGTGTAGTGTTGTTTCTGAGGACTCTGTTCTGTTCCATTGGTCTGTATCTCTGTTTTGGTACCAATACCATGCTGTTTTGGTTACCGTAGCCTTGTTGTATAGTTCAAAGTCAGGTAGCATGATGCCTCCAGCTTTGTTCTTTTGGCTTAGGATTGTCTTGGCAATGCGGGCTCTTTTTTGGTTCCATATGAACTTTAAAGTGGTTTTTTCCAATTCTGTGAAGAAAGTCATTGGTAGCTTAATGGGGATGGCATTGAATCTATAAATTACCTTGGTCAGTGTGGCCATTTTCACGATATTGATTCTACCTATTCATGAGCATGGAATGTTCTTCCATTAGTTTGTGTCCTCTTTTATTTTGTTGAGCAGTGGTTTGTAGTTCTCCTTGAAGAGGTCCTTCTAGTCCCTTGTAAGTTGGATTCCTAGGTATTTTATTCTCCTGGAAGAAATTGTGAATGGGAGTTCACTCATGATTTGGCTCTCTGTTTGTCTATTATTGGAGTATAAGAATGCTTGTGATTTTTGCACATTGATTTTGTATCCTGAGACTTTGCTGAAGTTGCTTATCAGCTTAAGGAGATTTTGGGCTGAGATGATGGGGCTTTCTAAATATCCAATCATGTCATCTGCAAACAGGGACAATTTGACTTCCTCTTTTCCTAATTGAATACCCTTTATTTCTTTCTCCTGCCTGATTGCCCTGGCCAGAACTTCCAACACTATGTTGAATAGGAGTGGTGAGAGAGGGCATCCCTGTCTTGTGCCAGTTTTCAAAGGGAATGCTTCCAGTTTTTGCCCATTCAGTATGATATTGGCTGTGAGTTTGTCATAAATAGCTCTTATTATTTTGAGATACGTCCCATCAGTACCGAATTTATTGAGAGTTTTTAGCATGAAGGGCTGTTGAATTTTGTCAAAGGACTTTTCTGCATCTATTGAGATAATCACATGGTTTTTGTCTTTGGTTCTGTTTATATGCTGGATTACATTTATTGATTTGCATATGTTGAACCAGCCTTGCATCCCAGGGATGAAGCCAGCTTGATTATGGTGGATAAGCTTTTTGATGTACTGCTGGATTCGGTTTGCCAGTATTTTATTGAGGATTTTAGCACTGATGTTCATCAGGGATATTGGTCTCTAACATTCTCTTTTTTTGTTATGTCTCTGACAGGCTTTGGTATCAGGATGATGTTGGCCTCATAAAATGAGTTAGGGAGGATTCCCTCTTTTTCTATTGATTGGAATAGTTTCAGAAGGAATGGTACCAGCTCCTCCTTGTACCTCTGGTAGAGTTCGGCTGTGAATCGGTCTGGTCCTGGACTTTTTTTGGTTGGTAGGCTATTAATTATTGCCTCAATTTCAGAGCCTGTTATTGGTCTATTCAGGGATTCAACTTCTTTCTGGTTTAGTCTTGGGGGGGTGTATGTGTCGAGGAATTTATCCATTTCTTCTAGATTTTCTAGTAATTTAAGCATGTTTTTATATATACCTGTTGGTCATTTTTATGTCTTCTTTTGAAAAATGTTTATTCAGATCTTTTGCCCAATTTTTAATCTAGTTATTTGGAGTTTTTTTTGCTATTGAGTTGTGTAAGTTCTTTATTTATATATTTTGGATATTAATCTCTTATCAGATATGTGGTTTACAAATATTTTCCCCCAAACCATAAGTTGCCTTTTTATTTTGTTGATTGTATCCTTTGTTCTGCAGAATAATTTTAGTTTGCTGTAACTTATTTTTGCTTTTCTCACCTGAGCTTTTACTGTCAAATCCAAAAAATAATTGCCAAGGTCAATGTCAAGCAGATTTCCCCCTGTATTTTCCTCTAGGAGTTTTACGGTTTTAGGTATCATGTTTTGGTCTTAATCAATTTTGAGTTGGTTTTTGAGAATGGTTTAAAATGAGTACAATTTCTTTGTTTTACATGTGCATATCCAGTTTTCCCAAAAGTGCTTACTATGGAGATTATCCTTTTGCTGTTGTGTGTGCTCAGTAACCTTGTCTAAAATTAGTTAACCATATATGCATGGGTTTATTTCTGTGCTCTCTAGTCTTTCTGTTGACCTCTGGGGATATATACTTTTTAAAATTGATTTTAATTGTGGTAAAATACATATAACAAAAATGTCCAACTTAACCATTTTAAGTGTAAAGTTCAGTGATGTTAAGAACATTCAAATTAGCTGGATGTGGTGGCACATGCCTGTAATCTCATCTACTTGGGAGACTGAGGCAGGAGAATCACTTGAGCTGGGGAGGCGGAGGTTGCAGTGAGCCGAGATCGTGCCATTGCACTCCAGCCTGGGCAACAAGAGCGAAACTCCATAAACAAAGAAACAAACAACCAAAAAAAAATTCACGTTGTTATACAACCATCACCACCATCTATCTTCAGAACGCTTCATCTTTTGAAACTGAAACTGTAACTAGTAAACAGTAACTCTTCATTCCCCTCTCACTTTCAGCCTCAGTAAATCACCATTCTACTTTCTGTCTCTATGAATTTGACTACTCTAAGTAACTTCTACATGTAGAATCATGCAGTATTTGTCTTTTTGTGATTGGCTCATTTCATGTAGCATAATGTCCTCAAGGCTCATCCATGTTGTAGCATACCTCAGAATTTCCTTCCTTCTTTTTGTTTTTAATCCACCCATCCTCACACTGATTCCTTCCCTTTTAAGACTGAAAAATATTTTCTTATATATATATATACCACATTTTTTGTTTATCCATTTATCTATCCATGGACACATGGGTTGCTTTCACCTTTGGGCTATTATGAAGAATACTGCTATGAACACAGCTGTACAAATACATCAATATTTTGGGTATATACCCAATTGTTTTTCAGTTTAGGAGAGTATATACCAAAAAGTGAAATTGCTAGATTATATGATAATTCTAATTTTGATTTTTTGAGGAACTGCCACGTTGTTTTCCACAGTGGCTGCCTGCACCATTTTTCGTTTTTACAAATAATGCACAAGGGTTTCAATATCTGCACATCCACATTTGTTATTTTCTGTTTTTATTTGATAGTAGTCATCCTAATGGTGTGAGGTGATAAGTCACTACGGTGTTGATTTGCATTTCTGTGGGTTTATTTTTGTGCCAGCACCATACTATTTTGATTACTATAGCTTAGTTAATGTAATTTGAAATCAGAAAGTGTGATGCCCCCAGCCTTACCTTTCTTGTTTAAAATTGTTTTACTATTTGGGGTCATTTATCTGTGTTTTCTTCAATTTCTTTCTTAATGCTTTGTAGCTTTCAGTGTAGAGGTCTTTTCCCTCCTTGATTAAAAGTAACCCTAGGTAGGCCTGGCACAGTGGCTCATGCCTATAATCCCAGCATTTTGGAAGGCCTAGGGGAGTGGATCACCTGAGGTCAGGAGCTTGAGACCAGCCTGGCCAACATGACAAAAACCCGCCTTTACTAAAAATACAAAAATTAGCTGGATATGTTGGAGCATGCCTATAGTCCCAGCTGCTCAGGAGGCTGAGGTGGGAGAATCGATTGAGCTTGGGAGGTGGCAGTTGCAGTGAGCTGATATTGTACCACTGCACTCCAGCCTGGGCAACAGAGTGAGACTGTCTCAAGAAAAATTAAAAAAAAAAAGTAACCCTAAGTATATTATTCTTTTTGATGTGATCCTAAATGAGTTTGCTTTTTTAATTTCTTTTTTACCTCTTTTTAACTCATCCATAATAGATGTACATTGTTTGGGGTACATGTAATAACTTAATAGATTAATATCGTTTGTAAAGGTCAAATCAGTGAATCAGTGTACGTGGAATATCCATCACCTTAAATTTTGTCTTTTTTTAGTGCTAAAACCATTTGAATTCCCTTCTAGACTTTTGAAGTGTACAATAGATTATTGTAAACTACAGTCACTCTACTGCCCTACTGACCTATCTAATGGTATATCTTATTTCTTTTTTTCTTTTTCTTTTCTTTTTTTTTTTTGAGACTGAATCTCACTCTGTCACCCAGGCTGGAGTGCAGTGGTGAGATCTTGGCTCACTGCAACCTCCGCCTCCTGGGTTCCAGCGATTCTTCTGCCTCAGCCTCCTGAGTAGCTGGGACTACGTGCACATGCCACCATGCCTGGCTAATTTTTGTATTTTTAGTAGAGATGGGGTGTCACCATATTGGCCAGGCTGGTCTCGAACTCCTGACCTCTTGATCTGCCCAGCTTGTCCTCCCAAAATGCTGGGATTACAGACATGAGTCACTGCACCTGGCCTTGTTTTTTTTGTTTTTTGTTTTAGATGGAGTCTCACTCTGTCACCCAGGCTGGAGTGCAGTGGTGCAGTCTTGGCCCACTGCAACATCCATCTCTCAGGTTCAAGCAATTCTTCTGCCTCAGTCTCCTGAAGTAGCTGGGACTACAGTGCCACCACGCCTGGCTAATTTTTGTAGTTTTAGTACAGATGGAGTTTTACCATATTGGCCAGGCTGATATTGAACTCCTGACCTCGTGATCCACCTGCCTCAGCCTCCCAAAGTGCTGGGATTACAGGCATGAGCTACCATGCCAGTCCAGATCTTATTTCTTTCAGCAAACTCTTGATTTCTTTCTCTGATAGGTTGTCATTGGTGTAAAAAATGCAACTGATTTTTGCATGTTGATTTTGTATTCTGCAACTTAGCTAAATTTATTTCTTAGTTGTAAAATTTTGTTTTTGTCTGACATCTTTATTTTTTTCTTATATATGTTTAATCATGTGTTATGCAAATGGGGTAACTTTACTTCTCCCTTTCTGGTTTGGATGGCGTTTATATCTTTTTCTTGCCTGATTGCTCTGGCTAGGGCTTTCATTGCTACATTGAATAAATGTGGTGATAGTGTACATCTTTGTCTTGCTCCTGATTGTGGAGAAAATCAGAATTTTCTGTGGGATCTAAGGATTTTCTGTGGGATTGTCAAATATGGCCTTTATTGTGTTAAGGGACCATTCTTGCCATTCGTAATTTGTTGAGCATTTTAATCTTGAAAGGAACTTGAATTGTTTAAATGCATTTTCAGCATCTATTGAGATGATCATGTGATTTTTATCCTGCTGGGTTTTGGTGCCAGGATGATGCTGGCCTCCTAGAATGAGTTGGGAAAGAGTCCCTCCTTTTCAATGTTTTGGAATAGTTTCAGTAGAAATGGTATCAGCCCTTCTTTGAACATTTGGTAAAATTCAGCTGTGAATCTGTCTGGTACTGGGCTTTATTTATTTATTTAGACTATTTATTACTGCCTCAATTTCAGAACTGTTTATTGATCTGTTCAAGGATTCAGTTTCTTCCTTGTTCAGTCTTGGGTGTATGTATGTGTTTAGGAATTTATTCATTTCTTCTAGATTTTCTAGTTTATGTACATAGAGGTGTTTATAATATTCTCTGATGGCTGTTTGTATTTCTTTTTTTGAAGGAAAATTTGTATTACTTTAATTATTTTTATGTCCAGAAAACTCAACAGTGTACATTTAACCCAGTTTAGTGGCAAGTTCTTTAGCCTTTGCCTTTTTGAGCTTGGCAATGTGAGCCACAGACTTGGGACCCAGGACATTACTTCCCCATTGATGGCAGATCTCATCGTATCTGTCATTGTAATTGGTCCTGATAGCTTACAACAGCTTAGCCAAAGCTCCTTTGTCTTCCAAGTTAACCTGTGTGAAGGCGACAGTGGTGCAGGTCTTCCTGTGGAGTAGACGTCCAGATCCACGTCATCTGCAATCACCACCAGCTGAGCTTTCTTGTTCTCCACCAAGGTGGTGACAGTGTTAACTCCTGCTCAAAGAACAGGTGGTCTCTTAGTGGGGACATCCCCTTTGCTGGCAGCTTCCTTTTCAGCTTGGGCCAACCACCTCTGCTTCTTCTCTTGCTCTCTGGTCTGTACTTGTGGGCCAGCTTAAGCAGCTGAGTAGTTGTTTGGTGGTCCAGGGCCGGGTGAACTGGTTAATTGCAGGAGGCACTTTCAGCCACTTAAAAAGGATGGCTCTCTGCCACTGCAACCTGATATAGTGGGGCCATTTCACAAAGCAGGTGAGGTCTCTTTTGGGCTGGATGTCCTGTCCAGTGCCAAAATTCTTAGGCCTTTTCCCAAACAGGGGATTCACCACTTTCTTGGCCACCTACTTCATGACAGCAGGGGCCAGAGCCACCTTCTTCCCCTTGGCCTTCTTTCCTTTTGACATCTTGGCTTGCAGGAGGAGAGAGAGGCTGTATTTCTGTGGGGTCAGTGGTAATATCCCCCTTATAATTTCTGATTGTGTTTATTTGAATCTTCTCTCTTTCTTCTTTATTATTCTAGCTAGCAGTTTACCTATTTTATTAATTTTTTCAAAAAAACAGCTCCTGGATTTGTTGATCTTTTGAATGGTTTTTTGTGTCTCAATCTCCTTCAGTTCAGCTCTGGTTTTGATTATTTCTTGTCTTCTGCTAGCTTTGGATTTTGTTGGCTCTTGGTTCTCTAGTTCTTTTAGTTGTGACATTAGGTTGTTAACTTGAGATCTTTCTAGCATTTTCATGTGGGCATTTAGTGCTATAAATTTCCTTCTTAACACTGCCTTAGCTGTGTCCCAGAGATTCTAGTATGTTGTATCTTTGTTCTCATTAGTTTCAAAGAACTTCTTGATTTCTGGCTTAATTTCGTTATTTACCCAAAAGTCATTCAGGAGCACGTTATTCAATTTCCATGTAATAGTATGGTTTTGAGTGAGCTTCTTAGTCTTGAGTTCTAATTTGATTGCACTGTGGTCTGAGAGACTGTTATGACTTCAGTTCTTTTGCATTTGCTGAGGAGTATTTTACTTCTGCTTACTTTTTCAATTTTAGAGTAAGTGCCATGGGGCCATGAGAAAAATGTACCATCTGTTGTTTTAGGGTGGAGAGTTCTGTAGATATTTTTCAGGTTCATTTGATCCAGAGTTGATGGCAGGTCCTGAATATCTGTTGATTTTCTGTCTCAATGATCTGTGTAATATTGTCAGTGGAGTGTTAAAGTCTCCCACTAGTATTGTGTGGGAGTCTAAGTCTCTTTGAAGATCTCTAAGAACTTGATTTCTGAATTTGAGTGCTCCTACGTTGAGTGCATATATATTTATTTAGGATAGTTAGCCTTATTGAATTGAACCCTTTGCCATTATGTAATGCCTTTCTTTGTCTTTCTTGATCTTTGTGGTTTAAAGTCTGTTTTTTCAGAAACTAGGATTACAACTCGTGCTTTTTTCTGTTTTTTTGTTTTCTTGGTAAATTTTCCTCCATCCCTTTCTCTTGAGCCTATGTGTGTCATTGCATATGAGATGGGTCTCTTGAAGACAGCATATTATTGGGTCTTGGTTCTTTATCCAGCTTGCCTTTTTATGTTTTTTAATTGGGGAATTTAGCCCATTTACATTTAAGGTTAGTATTATTATGTGTGGATGTGATCCTGTCATGATGATGCTAGCTGGTTTTTTTGCAGACTTGTTTTTGTGGTTGCTTTATAGTGTCACTGGTCTGTGGTACTTCAGTGTGTTTTTGTAGTGGCTGGTAATGGTTTTTCCTTTCCATATTTGGTGCTTCCTTCAGGAGCTCTTGTAGGGCAGGTATGGTGGTTATGAATTCCCTCAGTATTTCCTTGTCTGAAAAGGACCTTATTTCTCCTTCACTTATGAAACTTAGTTTGGCCAGGTATGAAATTCTGGGTAGAAATTTCTTTTCTTTAAGAATGTTGAATATAGGCCCCCAATTTCTTCTGCCTTATAAGGTTTCTGCTGAGAGGTCCCCTGTTAGTCTGATGGGTTTCCCTTTGTAGGTGACCTGGGCTTTCTCTCTGGCTACCCTTAACATTTTTTCTTTCATTTTTATCTTGGAGAATCTGATGATTATGTGTCTTGGTGATGATCTTCTCATGGAGTATCTTACTGGGGTTCTCTACATTTCCTGAATTTGAATGTTGGCCTGTCTAGCTAGGTTGGAAAAGTTCTCCTCTTTAATATCCTGAAATATGTTTTCCAAATTGGTTTCATTCTCCTCATCTCTTCCAGGTACACCAATCAGTGGTAGATTCAGTCTCTTTATATAATCCCATATTTATCGGAGGTTTTGTTCATTTTTTCATTTTTATTCTCTATTCTTGTCTGCCTGTCCTATTTCAGAAAACAATCTTCAAGATCTGAGATTCTTTCCTCCACTTGGTCTAGTCTGCTATTAATACTTGTGATTGCATTATGGAATTTTTGTAGTGTGTTTTTCAGCTCTATCAGGTTGGTTTTGTTCTTCTCTATACTGGCTATTTTGTCTGTTAGCTCTTGCAATGTTTTTTCATAATTCTTAGCTTCCTTGCATTGAGTTAGAACATGCTTCTTTGGCTCAGTGAAGATTGTTTTTATCCAGAATCTGAAGTCTACTTCTGTCATTCCAGTCATCTCAGCCTCTGCTCAGTTCTAGACCTTTGCTGGAGAGGTGATGTGGTCATTTGGAGGGAAGAGATCACTCTGGCTTTTTGAATCTTCAGTGTTCCTGTGCTGATTTTTTCTCATCTTTGTGAGCTTATGGTGGTTGTTTGTTTGTTTGTTTGTTTGTTTTTTCAGTCTGGCCACTTTTCTATAGGGCTGCTGTGGGTTTTGCTGAGTTTCCACTCCAGCCCCTAGTTGCCTATGGATTTTTCAGTATGTGGCAGTATCAGCAGTGAAGGCTGCAAAAAAGCAAAGATGGCAGCCTGCTCTTTCCTCTGGGGACTCCATCCCAGAGGGGTATAGACCCGTTGCCAGCCCAAATGCACCTGTAGGAGGTGGCTGGAGACCCAGGTTGGGAAGCCTCACCCAGTCAGGAGGAACAGGATCAGGGACCTGCTTAAAGAAGCAGTCTAGCCATGCTTTCATAGAGCAGTTGTGCTGTGCTGGGGTACTAATTCTGCCCTTAGTCAGCTTGGGCTCTCCAAAACCTGGAGGCTGGAATGGCTAAGTTGCCAAAACAGCAAAGATGGCAGCCCACCCCTCTGTCTAGGAGCTTTGTCCCAGGAAGTTTTCAAACCTCTGACAGCCAGAAAACATCAGTGAGAGCGGCTGGAGGCCCTAGTTGGGAAGTCCTACCCAGCAAGAAGGAATAGATCAGGGACATGCTTAGGGAGGCAGTCTGACCACACTTTTGTGGAGCAGCTGTGCCATGCTGGGGTACCGCTTCAACCCTGGTCAGTTTGGGCTCTCCAAAGCCCACAGACTGGAACAACTGAGTTGCCCAAACAGCAAAGATGGTGGCCTGCCCCTCCTGCTGGGAGCTCAGTCCCAGGGAGAAATCAAATCACTGTTGGCTGGAGAATACAGGCAGGGGTGGTTGGAAGCCCTGGTTGGGAGGTCCTGCCCAGAGATGAGGAAGAGATTGGGGTCCCACTTAAAGAAGCAGTCTGGCTATGTTTTGGTAGAGCAGATGTGCTGTGTTGGGGAATCCTATCTTCACCCAATCTGTTTGAACTCTCCAAAGCCAGCAGGATGGAATGGCTGAGTTGCCCAAACAGTAAAAATGGTGGCCCGCCCCTCCCTACAGGCACTCAATTCCAGGGAGAAATCAAAACTGTTAGCCAGAGAATATGGGTGGTGGTGGTTGGAGGCCCTGGTTGGAAGGTCCTGTCCAAAGATGAGGAGTGGATCAGGGTCTCCCTTAAAGAAGCAGTCTGATTTTCAGGTTGGGTGGGGCTCCCAGTCCTATACCCTCGATTCATCATCAAAAGTGACCCAGGCATTTAAGTATTGAAAGAATATTTGAGTAGTTAGAGTCCCTGACCCAGGTAGACAAGCATGAATGGATGCCAAAATGAAGAACTCTAGAGAGGACCTTAGGCGTCCAGTGGAGAGGAAGGGAAGGCAACAATCAGTTGGCATGTTATATATCTAAATGGCATAGTCCAGAACCAAGAAGGCACCAGATACTGTACTTCCTGTCTTATATTGGATTTGAGGTGAAAATCCCCCGACCTGTGTTGAAAGACAATTTACTTCTCATAAAAAATGAATAAATAATCATATACCAATACTTCATTTTTACTTAATGAAATTTAGGTTCTTAGCCCTGATGTATGACCAAACACCTATGGGTGCTTTATAGGTATCATCATTCCTTTAAGTCAAATAACAAAGCTGTATTTTAGGGACAATTATTTCTATTTCACAAATGCAAAAACTGAGAGTCAGAGACATTATGCACCAATAATACAGCTGTTTGGCAGGAGGCCCAGGATCTAATTATTTGACTCTAGTCACTCCATGACTCTGTGATCAGCATAGATTGAAGCTCAAGTGGTGTGCACAATGAAAGCAAGGTAAGCTCCACTGAACTCTGCCTCAGTCAGGAGGCAAAGAGCATAAATGTTGCTCAGTATTTGGCTTCATTCCTCAGATCAGAGTATGTTCAGAGAGTGACAAAGAGAATTGTGAGGGATCTAAATGGTATTTCACAGTGGAATGGCCAAAGGAACTATGAGAGTTTAAATTTAGAAAAAGGAAGGTAGAAGAGGCATCATAGGGGGTCAAATATGTTAACATTTTTATATAGATATTGGATGGTTTGCACCATTAAACTCAGGCGGGACCAATTGGGAAGTTTAAAAAATAGATTTTAATAACAGAACCAACACCAAAGGCAATAAGGCCTGACACTAGAGTAATTGAGGTGCAATTAATGAAGATCAATTAAGGAAGAGATGGAACACATTCTTTCATGAGCTACAGGTTCTCAACTATTGGTTTATTATCCCTCAGAATTCACATAGTCAAAGAATTC